>NC_000010.11:15464545-15616060 GCF_000001405.40 Homo sapiens
CTGTGTCATCTCTTGGAAATCCCTGTTAAATCCCCAAGTAATCTGCCTATCTGTTGTTGTTTCCAAGCCATAATCAACCTCAGACTACTGGAATCACTGGCTCTTCCTTTCACTTGTCAATGTGAACAAAGATCCCGTTAACCAGCAATGCTTCAGGTCAAGGAAACTCACTCTGAAGGCAACTGCAAAGCTGCTGGTTTCCATGGCACCTGAAGAGTTTGGGGGGTGGGGAGAGATGGGAGCAGCCCTGGCCAAGAAAGCCACTGCTCTTATCCAAAAGTTAGTAGTATTCACAAATAAATGCTTTTCAATATCCTGTACATCTTTGATTAAATTTCAGAATGTGGGGGTTGGAGGGTGTTGCCAGTTTTGCCCAGTTTCATAGTTGCTTTTGGGGGTAAGGATTTGTTGACCTGTCACTCTGTCATGATGGACATCAGATGCCTGTCTCTGGCTTCATGTTTACCACTTTCCCCTCATTCACTGTTCTCTGGTCCCACTGACGTTCTTGTATATGTTGAACAAACTAAGTCAATTTCTCCTGCATGTCTTTGTGATGGTTAATTTTATGTGTCAGCTTGTCTGAGCTAAGAGCTGCCCTTACAACCTAAGAGCTTGTAAAACATGATTTTTAGATGTGTCTGTAAGAGTGTTTCCAGGAAAGATTAGCATTTGTATCTGTAGACTGAGTACAGAAGATCCCCTCTCACCAACATGGTGGAGCTGGGGGGTTGGGAGGATCATCCAATTGGTTGAGGGCAACAAATAGAACAAAAAAGTAGAGAAAGGACACATTTTGCCTCTCCTTTGTTAAGTTGGGCCACCCATCTTCTCCTGCCCTTGGATATCAAAGCATCCAATCCTGAACCTTCAGATTCTGGGGCTTAGACAGGCGTCCCTGCCTCCCTGCTTCTTCCCAGTTCTCAGGCCTTTGACCTCAGACTAAGAGTTACATCAGGGACTCCCCTGGCTCTCAGACCTTTAGACTTGGACTGAACTATGTAACTGGTATTCCTGGTTCTCCAGTTTGCAGGTGGCATATTGTGAGATTTGGTCATCATAACCTCATGAGCCAATTCCTATAATAAATCTCCTCTTGGCCGGGTGTTGTGGCTCATGCCTGCAATCCCAGCACTTTGAGAGGCCAAGGCAGGCAGATTGCCTGAGCCCAGGAATTTGAGACCAGCCTAGGCAGCATGGCGAAATCCCATCTCTACAAAAAATTAGCTGGGCATGGTGGCACGCACCTGTAGTCCCAGCCACTCGGGAGACTGAAGTGGGAGGATCACCTGAGCCCAGGAAGTAAAGGCTGCAGTGAACCATGATCATGACACTGCACTCCAGCCTGGATGATAGAGTCAGACACTATCTCAAAAAACAAACAAACAAACAAACAAAAACAAAAACCAAAACCAAAATAAGAAACCTCCTCTTAGGTCTCTCTGTCTATCCTGCTGGTTCTTTTTCTCTGGAGAAACCTGAGTAATACAACTTTTATATTCTAAATTTCTTGGAATGTTCTTTCTCCATGTCTTACTTGATTATTTCTTTCTCTTTCTCATTATTCAGATTTCTGTTCAAATGTCACCTTCTCAGAAAGGCCTTCCTTGACCATCTTCTTTAAAACAGCACTTCGCTCTCTCTTCAGATCCATCTCTTTATCTTGCTTTATTTTCCTCATAGGAAGCATCAATATTACGTTATTATTTATTTTTTAGTTATCTTTTCTCTCAAGCTTCAAAAAGTAGGAATTTTGTCACATTTGCAGCTGTATCCCCAGCACCCAGAACAGTTCCCAGCATATAGTACCTCTCAACAAGCATTTGTTGAAAGAGTGAGTTGACAACGAAGTTGAACTTTGTCCTCTACGTATGAGAAGAAACTCATACGTAGAGGACAAAGTTCTACGCATGCTCAAAAGTCATTTTCCTTTTTCTTGTTCTGAAAATGTTCACTTATCTCCAGTCTTAAAATTGGAGCTCCTTCAGGACACCACAAGTGTCTTCATAGACAATGGGAGTTTTTTTCTCAAGTATAAGGCAAGAGTGGATGCACTAAGGAACAGAAAACTTGTGCTGCATTGATTGATAGGAAGATGCAGGAGACCATTCACTTGAGCATCCTTAGGTGTGATGTTTCTTTGCAAAAGTGGTAGAAAACCCACCTTCTTCCAGAACTTACTGTTCTGTTTCTTCTCCTTTTCCTTCCCCACCCCAACTCTGGCATATAAACAAATCCACATCTCACCAATCTAGGTTGCAATGGAGGTATGCTATAAAGACAGATAAAATGATGTGGATACACTAATAGAAAGATTTATAGAACAATCAGAGAGAGGAAAGAGAAGTAGAAGAAGCACAGTTAAGAGAAAGGGCACTTGGATGATGGTCCAGATTCTTTGCAAAGGGTAGGAATTTACCTGTTTTCTAAATGGGGAAGGCGAGGTCGGAATAGGAGGATGCAGGGAAAGGTGCTGTTATGACAGTGGGCAGAAAATTCTGTGGTGGCTGGCTTAATCTGTTTTCACACTGCTATACAGAAATACCCAAGACCGGGCAATTTACAAAGGAAAGCGATTTAATTGACTTGCAGTTCTACATGGCTGGGGATGCTTCAGGAAACTTACAATCCCGGCGGAAGGCGAAGGGGAAGCAGGCACTTTCTTTACAGTGTGGCAGGGGAGAGAAGAGGGATGGAGGAACTTCCAAACACTTATAAAATCATCAGCTATCGTGAGAACTCACTCACTATCATGAGAATAGCATGGGGGAAACCGTTCCCATGATCCAATCACCTCCCTCCCGCAACACATGGGGATTACAGGTCCCTCCCTGGATACATGGAAATTACAATTTGAGATGAGATTTGGGTGGGGACACAGAGACAAACCGTGTCAATGGCCCACTGGAGGGGGTCCTGATGTGTTCTTCTTGGTGGAAGAAGGTGGGCTAGGAGCAAGACAGGTGCTTCCAAGAAAGTCGAGCCTGGTGTGAATTCTGGAGGATTGGCTGGGGGTTAGCTAGGTTTGATGGGGAGCAAGGGGTAGGATACTCCAGGCAGAATGAGTAGGCAGCAAACAGCAAGGAAGAAACAATCCCCTACATAATTGCTTTTCAACATTGGTCTTCAGAATTATGTTTGTTTAGTTCAATGCGATTGGTATCTTAGCTCTGAGCACCCAGCTGCTGAACATGAGAGAACAAGGCCCCCAGACAGGCTACATGGTGAAGGAAGTCAGCCTAAGTTTAAAATGTCCACAGGTAATATTCTGAAAGGACAGTTCACAGAGATATTTGAATGATGCTTGCATTGACATTTTATTATGAAATCTGTATTACACTCACATTTGCGGAGATGATTACTCTACCATTTCCTACAGGAAGGACATATACAAAGTTTTTGTTTTGTTTTGTTTGCCCCAATGAATTGTTATGTATTTTGTCTATTCATTTAGATGAGACTTTACTGAGGCACTTGACCATTAAAATAATTAATAAAAATAAGGAAGTGTGTTCAGAGCAGTCTGGTGAACTTTGATTAAATGAGAAATTAAGCTGGGAGTAGTAGTGCACACCTGAAGTCCCAGCTACTCTGGAAGCCAAGGTGGGAAGATTGTCTGAGGCCAGGAGTTCAAGGCTGCAGTGAGCTGTGATCATGTCACTGCACTCCGGCAGCCTGGGCGACAGAGCAAGACTCTGTCTCCTAAAAAAATAAATAATACATGAGGAACGCTACTCCAAGAGACCCCCGAGTCATTGCAAAACCAGCCTGGCCTCAAGCAAAGGTTGAGCGTTAGGAAAGTTCAGCACTGTGCCTTTCAGTAATGTCTTCTTCTCCATCTCTGTTAGTCATCTGACTGCAGTTAAAATAACATTTATTGCTTTCTGCTTAATGTTCTAGAACAGATGATCAGGAAGCCATGAAAGCAGAGACAATGGTACTTCTAAAATCAGTACAATGTCCTAACCAGTATTCTCCTGACTTGCTGTAATTGGTTAAAGGCAGAGGAGATAGCATATCAAGCTGCCTCATGCCTGCCCTGAAGTGTGCCATTGGAGTTACAGCATGAGCTAGAGAGTTAGAGCCTGAAAAGGGTCTTGTCTAGAGAGGCTTAGGAGTGGTACAGACAGGGACTACTGCAACTCTAGTGAATCTCCATGTGGAGCTGGATTGGGGAATGGTGGAAATAGGATGGTATCAGCCATTTTTCTTCCCTGTGCAATTTTCTTTTCTTTTTCCTGCAGGAAGGAACCCTGAGCACTAATTTGTCTCACTGCTTTCTCCTTAGGAACCAGCAATGTTGCTGACAGGGAGACCTCAGGATGGGAACTGCTGGGCTTCAGCCTTGTCAAATAAGCCCCATTTCACCTAATTCCATCTCCTTTTCAATATGTGGTCTTCACGTTTAACCTACGGTTGTTTTCTTCTATGGAAAACATACAGTGGTCTTAAGACCATGTATCCAGACGTTGCTTTTTGACTTGCCAGTGTACAGATTCTTCCCTCCATCTGCCTCCTGCAAAGAGTATTTTGGGAAAATGAATTGCACATGGCATCTGCTCAGTTGGGCCCATGGACTCCTGGTGGCAGGCAGACCCCTGGGAGATCCGGGTAAAATGTGACTCACCACGTCCTATGTACTGCGCCTTTCAAAGGACTCGCTCATCTTTTCTTTGGAATGTTTCTCTTCTCTTCCCCTCTCTCTGTTGCCATAACCACCCCTTTTTCATCTTGACTCTCATTATCCACGCCTGGATTTTGGCACTAATCTGACCAGCTAGCTGGCCTGACTCCCTGCTTAGAAATGAGAAGTGGCTTCTTATTTTCTCATCATTTCTTCCTTCCTAGCTTTCATGTCCTTCCTTGTCTGACCCCACACTACCCCTCCAAGGATGTTAGTGCCAGAACACTTCATCACAGGCCCTGTGCTCTAACTGGACTGATGGCCTCACTCACTGCCAGGCCTTTCTCTCAAAGCCTTGCTTGGTGTCTTATTTTTTTTGGGGGGGGATGTCTTTTTCCTTCCCTTCTGCATAGTCACATCTTCCTTGGCCTTCGAGATCCCATCTTCCAGGAAGCTCTGTGGATATCCCTGCTTCCATTCACCTGCAGATTTCTCTGGGGCTTTGTGACGATACCAGCAACTCCATGCAGTTTTGCATTGACTTCTACTGCCCTCTATGAGTTTTTGGAGCTTGGCTTTTCAATTTTAAAATGTTGTTAATGACGAAGATTCTAGTACACACTTGGTGTGTTAAAAGTGTCCCCAGTGGTCCTGGGCCCGTAATAATTCTCAACAAATGCTTGCTGCTTGATGAACTCTGTACTTTCAGCACTAAGGGAGATTGTAGTCAGTTTCACAAATAGATCACTTGTTTCCTTCTTCATGGTTACTCTAAGATACTTTATTTATTTATTTATTTATCTTTTGAGACGGAGTCTCCCTCTGTTGCCCAAGCTGGACTGCAGTGGCAGGATCTTGGCTCACTGCAACCTCCACCTCCCGGGTTCAAGTGATTCTCCTGCTTCAGCCTCCCGAGTAGCTGGGACTACAAGTGCGTACCACCACACCCAGCTAATTTTTGTATTTTTAGTAGAGACAACGTTTCACCATGTTGGCCAGGATGATCTCGATCTCTTGACCTTGTGGTCCACCTGCCACGGCCTCCCAAAGTGCTGGGATTACAGGCGTGAGCCATCGCTTTTAACTTCTATAGAGGATTGCGCATTTTGGCATGATAGGGGCAGGATAAAGCGGCTTGAGCTATTCATTTGGAAATTGTTTTTCATGATACAATGACTCTTGTGACCAGTGTTCTCTCATTTCCTCTGAATACCCCTCCCCTTCTCTCTTGTCTACTGAGTGCTAAGGCCTCTCAGGCAGGAATTTCCACCTAAGTATGGTGCTGCCTTCATTCCCTTCTTCCCCATGGTTATTTCAGTCAAAACATGTACATTAAGTTTAAAAATAAATTTCCCTTGAATCCATGTCATTATGCACAGATTCATGTACACCATGTCGATTCACGAACACCAAAAACTCTGAAACATAACGATAGCATTTGGGGTTCACGGTGTTATCATCCCATCGTCAAGTGAAGGTTTATGTCCCAGTGCCTGTTTTACTAAACAAAGCCCAAACCTATATTGTTCTCAGGTCGCTGGAATTTAGTTTTTTCGTTCTACTGAATAGGAGGTGAAAATTAATTGACTGGTAGGGAGTAAGAAAATCACATTTTGTTAGGAGAAGCAGTTCATGAATCCCCAAGAATCCCCAATATTTGATTTCTCTATTTTACAGCAAGAATTCACTCATGAATTTCCCACACTCTGCTCAGGTTTCTTGACTCTGTTCCAGTCTTGCTCATGCTTTTAGTGGTCTGTGTTTTGTGTTATTTTCAATCAGAGGTAGAACTCTTGTTGCGTTAAAACGTCACACTTCTAATTCGATTTTGTTTCTCTCTGGGGTTTCTTTAAATTTTGTTTCCTTTCTTTGCTTTTCATCTGCCAGGTCATTAACAAAGATGCCTAATGGTCACCTCTAACACCTTTCTCAGGAGTTTACTGTTAATTTGCCACCAACCCAATTTCTCAAGAGAACTACATAATGTATTTTCTCATTCATTTAATCTTCAGTTAACAATTTTTAAAAAGATTGAACTATTGAGACAGTAATTTCACACTAATTTCATACCATTGGGCTACTGGATTTCATTGTACTATCCAAGTTAAAGAAATTATCTTTAACATTGATTCCTCAGTGATGATTATTGCTTTTAGTTCACCTGCAAAGCAACAAACCATTTCTGGAAGATTTTCTGGAGATGTAAATGAGTGTGATAAAAGGATTTAAGAGGTTACCTTTTGGGGAAATCATCCATAATATAGAATATGTAATGCACCTCAAATCTTCAAACTTGGTTAGGAGCGTCCTGTTTCTTCTTCACCATTTCTTTGTAAAATTCAGGAAATTTCATAGTCCCAAAAGCCTTGTTCTATTTCATTCTCTTCTTCTTCTTCTTTTTTTCTTGAGATGGAGTCTTGCTCTGTCGCCCAGGCTGGAATGCCGTGAAGCGATCTCAGCTCACTGCAGCCTCCACCTCCCGGGTTCAAGTGATTCTCCTGTCTCAGCCTCCTGAGTAGCTGGGATTACAGGCGCCTGCCACCATGCCTGGCTAATTTTTGTATTTTTAGTGGAGACGGGGTTTCACCATGTTGGCCAGGCTGATCTTGAGCTCCTGACCTCAAGTGATCTGCCCGCCTCGGCCTCGCAAAGTGGGTTTCATTCTCTTTTTAATCACCAACTCTAGAATTTCCCCTTCCCCAACAGCCACCACTTGACTCTTCCATTTCAGAGGATTTGTAATAGAGATTAGATTTAGAAATAATACTTTTGGAAGGAAGAAATTGCACCCATCTTAATGGGGATAGAATCCTTTACTTCTTAGTGAGACTAAATTACCAAATCTTGCTTGAATGGTGTGTGAGGAACGTGGGTATTAGCAAGAGATTTAGGTTTCGAAATGGGAGTTTCTCTGGTGCACAGTGGCCTCCCCTTGGTAGTGTGGGAAGGAGGACAGTGTGTATCATTGAAGCATTCATGGGTGACTGGATAAACTGCACAGAGTTCAGCAGGCTAAAGAGATAAACTCCTTCATTCCACATGCAGACGTCCTGCTGCTGCCTAAAATCAATAGCCTTGTGTTCCTAGGAATCTCTGTCCAAGACTGTGTTTCGGTTGTATGGTTGTTTATTTTGGAAATGCAACAATAAATAACCGCAGAGAGGATATTAGAGGAGACCTCCTTGGGAAAGGCTACGAATTCTTTGGGGACATAAAGCCTCATGCATGTGGCCTCTGATAAGAGGAAATCACTATAGATAATATTTGCTTTTTCTATATTCCCTGAGGACAATACAATAGAAACAGGAACAAGCAGTATAAAAAAAATCTGTTTGTTTGCCTAGTAAAGCCTTCTATTTTAGTCATTTCGGTTAAACCAGGGAATAAGGACACTTGATCTTGAGTTGAGTCAGTGCCCTGAGATGCACCATCAGATCCGCTGAACACCCAGGAGTTAGATGGTTATATCCGGTGGGGCGCGACCCACTCTCGCACCACAACTGCGCCAGCTCTTTGAGGGACTTGGCAAGGCCGTCCTTCATTGATTAGGTCTCTGGCTTGTCTCATCTGCCACCATCTGAAAATACCTGGTATAGAGTTTGGAGACAGTTTTGCAGCCGTGACTAAGAGGGAGGAAGGGGGAAAATCCGATTACCTCCCTCTCACCATGGCATGTTCTTGTTTGTCCACATGCAGGGGGCTCTGTCATCCCTAATCTCTTTGAGCGTTGCTCTGTAAGGGTTTTGGCCCATGCACAACCACTGCCACAAGAATCCACAAGCCAGAGCCAAATCTTACATCACGGGGAAGATGAAACATTCCCCATGCAAGACCTGCAGCCGCAGAGTCCATTGCTCAGGGGAGAGAAAGGCATGCTGACTGCATCCTAGGGGGTGGCCCTCCCCAGGACCTCTACCCCTTACCTAGAGGAGGAAATGTCTCCCGAGGAGTCCCTGAACTACTCAGAGCTCATCAAAGAAAGGAGTCTACTTCCCTGGAGAGTTGTTTGTTTTTCTTTCTCATTAAAATGCATGAAGGTATCTTTTCTGAAATGTTGATTCAGAGGTTCTGAACTGATGTTTGTGAGGCTGCTTTCATTGTAGCTTGCAGAAGAGTTAGATTCTAAACAGCCCAGCAGGAAGCACCTTGGATTCTAATATCCTTAACAAGGAAGGGGTAGTGACGGAGAGTCAGGGAACGGCTAAACTACTGACACTTTCAAAGGAATGATTAAGGTGGACAAAGATGGACAAATAACCATGAAAGGCTCGAGCAACTGCATTAAAAATAGAGAATTTTAACAAGAAGCGGTCCCCTAACCATCCGAAAGTGTGGGGGCAGGGGGAGTCACACTGGAGTTAATTACACTTTAAATCTCAGAGGAAGATTCCTCTCATGCTGTAGTTGACAGAAATGAAGAATGAACTTTATTATCTGATCAGAAGTGGAGTCGGAAGTTGCTGAGGCGATACATATGGCTGGTGGGGAGGAAGGAAAAAGAGCAAGTTTAAAAGAAGCCCAGGGAAGGCTTATTTTTCTTTATTTAATTGGTTTCAAAGCAACTGAATCCTCCCCAATTTGGACTGTAATTGACATTTGTTTTACAAAGAAAGAAAACCACAACAAGAAAGGAAGTACAAACCAGGTATCCAGGCCCTCTGAGGAGCTGTGACCCCTGGGACTCCCCCTCACAATCTTTCTAAGCGAAGGTGTACTTTGTGGAGCCACTGACATGCTGGGCTAATCTGGGTTCTCTGGGAAAAAAACGCCAGGATGAGATCAGTGTGGGAAGATGTGTACAGAGGGGTACCTTTGTGAGAGAAGGTGGAGCTGGAGCCAAGAAAGGCTAAGAGAGCCATGAGACCCCCATAAGAATACTACCCAGAGCAAAGGAGGCCGCCAAGAAGAAGGCTGGGTTCAAATATCCAAAAGCGCTGTGCAGTTGAAGGAAAGTTCAGTAAGGCCACTGGGGAGGCCTTCAGCCAAAGTCAGGTCCCACGTGTCAGAGAAGTGCCATGTTTCTCAGGGTTGCCCCGCTGTGCTCAGCCATTGGCTGGATTCAGCTCATAAGAAGGGCCACCTTGACGTGAATGTAACTGTGGATTTCAGGGGATGCTGCTGACCCCCTTGGTCAATTACACTTCGTGTAGTTGGAGGTTTGCAAGATCCCTTCTCATGGTCACTGCAGTTCTTCCACGGAGCATTCTCAGTAGCAGGATTATCCTCTGTGCAATTGGAAGCAACCTTGAAGACCATTGTTCCAACTCTCTCATTGTGTAAATGAAAAGACTTGCGTAGATGGGGCTAGATGATTTCCAGGACTGGGAGACCCTGGAGTGGGGGAATTAATATTTTCTAAACATCCAGGTTTTTATAGAACTCCAGAACTACTCCTTCCATTGCGCCAACTATACTAACAAAGTTGTGTGCTGGTCACAATTTTTATTTTTAAAATACGGATTATATTTCTGATGATAAGAATGTATACATTCAAGAAAATTTGGGAAATAAAGAGAAGTAACAAGAAGGGGAAAATATTATTCAGAACATACCCAGCCAACCCTTCAAGTTCTTAGCCATTTGGTATGTTTTCTTACAGTTATTTTCCCCATACCTTTTTTACACATCGAAGTTTATACAGCATAGAACTTGAATCCTGATTTTTTTCACTTGGCATCATGACCTCAACGTTTCTCATGTTGTAAAAATTTCAGAAACTTAATATGGATGACTGTACAACTTATTGATCTTTTGATTCAGTCACTGTGAAATATCTGGGAAAACAAAGGAAAATTTGAGGTCATTTAAATTGAGTATACTCTTCTATGGAAAAGTTTCTGAAACTTATTGCTTCAACTTGGGATATTTATCATGGGCAAAATTTGTAACAATGCTTCTAGTTTGTACTTTGGAATATCCTTCCTCTAACTTTTAAAGAAAAATCTTCAGTCTGACGTTTTAAACTTCATAGTACTTTTTGACGGAACACTTATACATTCTCAACTGTTTCAATATACCTGTTTTCTGTTTCCACCTGTTTGTGTTTAGAGTTTTTGTTTTGTTAGCTCTTTGGAAGTTGAAAACTGGTTTGCAGTTTTCAGACTAATTGACTTGGTGAAAGAGAATTCTTCCAGGTCAGACTTTCCTAGTAACTCTGAATTTCAGGAAATGATGGGATAAAAGTGGTTAAAAGCATGAGCTTTGGAATCAGCGAGATGTGAGTGTGAACCTCAGCTTGGTCCTTGTTCAGTGGTCCTTGAATGACAGCAGATCAGTTCTTCATTCTCTGAGAGCTTCATTTATTACTTATCCCAGGAGTATCCTCCAAAGAAAGGAAATCAGTGTACTGAAGAGATATCTGCACTCCTATGTTTACTGCAGCTCTGTTCACAATAGCCAAGATTTGGAAGCAACCTGTGTCCATCAACACATGAATGGATAAAGAAAATGTGGTACATACACACAGTGGAGTACTATTCAGCCATAAAAAAGAATGAACTCCTGTCATTTGCAATAACATGGATGGAACCAGAGGTCATTATGTTAAGTGAAATAAACCAGGCACAGAAAGACAAACTTTGCATGTTCTCACTTATTTGTGAGAGCTAAAAATTAAAACAAAACAATTATAATTTTTTGAAATTTTTATTCTTACTTTAATTTTATTCCCATTTCATAGGAAATGGAACATAAATCTCAGTTGTCTTATGTAAAGATCAAAAGGATAGAATGCAAAGAAAGTACTTCACGTGGATGTGGTATCCAGTTGGGTACCAAATAAAATTATCATTATTACTGTCTCAAGCTTTAGTCTGTTAATATTTTGTTTATTATTAATTTTTTAGTCTGTTTTAACCTGAATGATATATCTTGTGTGTAAACCCACACGTTTCCTTGCTTTGTCAATGACAGGGACGAAGTCCTTTTGTTAACATTTATCTCTACTCGATATCCCCATTATCAATCAATCAGATGAAGGTTATTACTGCAAATATACAACAATTTTAGAGGAACGTACTGAGTATTCAGTCTACGCCTTATTTACGCTTGAGCTATTAATTGTGATTAGTGTCTTCTATAAGTAGACACTAATAGCTATTTATAGATTTGTGTGCAAAATAATATTCCTTGGTCTAAATGGTTGAATCCTAAGCTCCTAGCACAGGTAATGGCAGAAAGTCTGGTTTAACCTAATTCAAGGACTTAACCCACAGCTTTCTGACATACACAGGGATCCCATATGTTCCCCAGATTCTAGTGATGGAGTGAGCTGTCCTGTCCCTTGGTATCCTGTCCCACCAAGCTGTCCTAGCTTGGTGTCAGGTTGGCCCTGGCTACAGGTGTAAGCTGGCTGTGGCCTACGCTCCCGTGTAGTAGCTGGGACAAATTCCAGTTGCTTGAGTACCTCTAGTGGCTGTGAGTGAGGCATCTTGTCCCAGCTGTAGTGATTCTTCAGAGGTGAGTGGCAATCTTTATTAATATATCTGGTGAAAATTACTTCCATCCAAACTGGCGGAACTTCACCACGAAACTCTTCCATTGCTTCCTTCAGGATTTTCCATATTGCACGAGGCTGCTGTAGTAGCAAAACCCCTGTTGTGAGGGTCCTTCTCTCCACTTGGTTAGCTAGACTGTGTCTTGTTATGATATTTTTAAAAATATCATGCAGATATGAGAATATCTTTCAGTTGCAAAGAGTATAAAGAACAACTTGGTTGTATTTAAAAATCTTGGATTACAACCTTACCCTGCTCAAAAGTCAATAGACAGGCTGGGCTCGGTGACTCATGCCTGTAATCCCAGCACTTTGGGAGGCCGAGGCCGGGATCATCTGAGGTCAGAAGTTTGAGCCAGCCTGGCCAACATGGTGAAACCCTGTCTCTACTAAAAATACAAAAAATTAGCTGGGTGTGGTGGTGGGCACCTGTAATCCCAGCTGCTCAGGAGGCTGAGGCAGAAGAATTGATTGAACCCAGGAGGCAGAAGTTGCAGTGAGCTGAGATTGCACCATTGCACTCTAGCCTGGGCAACAAGAGCGAAACTCTGTCTCAAAAAAAAAAAAAAAAAAAAAAAAAGAAAGAAAGAAAGAAAAAAAGAAAACCTTCAATAGACAATGCTTCTTCATCTTAAGGTATTGAATATGGCAGTAGCATTGAGCACTACTGTAGTTTTCATACCACTGTTGAGAAATATTATTCTTGCCTGGGTGCTTAAAGAATTGTTAAAAAGTCCTATGAGCTAGAGATTTTAATAATTTCTTCCTATTGCCTAACCCTTCATGGAGAACTTGCTTTATCCTCAGCCCTATGGGACAGCTCTAATCACTGTATGACCCTCCTCTTTTGGGCACAGATAATGGGCCATAGATGGATAACTGTCCAGAGCTGGACTATTAATCATCTTATCCAGGAATCTGTAACTGGGGAATTAGACTGAGCGTGCTACCTGCAGGAAGTTGAATTCAGATAGTGTAGGCTCAAGTGGTGACGTTTCCTTTGGGTGCAGCCATTGTCAACCATGTATAAACAAGTAAATAAGCAGAGAAGCCAGTTTGCAGAGAAATTTGAATGAAGTAGTCATAGAGTGAAAATGAGAGGTAGCTGTGTGTGTGTGTGTGTGTGTGTGTGTGCGTGTGCGTGTGTGTGAGAGAGAGAGGAACGCCCACTGGAGGCATTGCTATAGAGCACATGGCAAGGTGCACTATCTTGAGAGTAGAGAATTTTCTTCTCTGTAACTCCCCTCTTTACTGGCTCCAGCAACTCTAGCCAGCCCAGTGCCTGGTCCCGTCTGTGCATGTCTAGGGGAGAGCAGATCTGCTGCTTCCTCTTGAATGAACTGAAGGCTGTGGGCATCAGTGGCATTCAATGCAGGGCTTTAGAGGGATGGGAAGGCAAGCTGGCCACTCTTCCCCTGACGAGGGACCCTTAGCCTTGCTTGGGCATGAAATAGCCTTTGGAGCTATTTCAGAAGAAGGAGAAGCTGGGGTCTGGAATTTGGGTAAAAATGCCTTAGAGGCCAGGAGGGGCTGAGTTGGAGGCAAGCCTGGTGTGATTGGGAAAGGAATGGAAAGTGAGAATCTCCTGCACCTTTCAGATGTGTCTTTTTCTAAATCCTGTCCCCTGCTTTACTGCTTCTTAAAGACCATGTGACACTGAGAAGTAGCTGATTTGGGGAACTTTGATGCTGAGGCAGGAAAGTCAGTGGCTCCTGTTGGCAGATTAGGAGTAGAGTGTTAAAGAGAATGAGGTCTTCGTGGACCCACTCAAGCAATTGAGAGTCTGGGCTCTCAGCAACACCTCCCAGTCCATTCACACTCTTCAGAACTAGGGAATGTTGTTTGTGATAACCTGTGGCAAAAGGTTGAGAAAGGATGAGACCCAGTGAAACAAAAGGCAAGGAATCATTCCCTTCACGCCACAGCTGATCATGGGACACACAGGCAGTTTCCTTGTTCCCCTCACTGTTTCCTGGAGTGAGTTAATAAAATGGCACCACGGGAGGCGGCTCTCCAGATCCTGGCCGGGGGCAGGAGCTCAGCTGGAGTCTAACTGAGCCTGGGAACATCAGGTATAGGATTTTGGCCATTGTCGGTAGATATTTCACCTCTACAGAAAGATGCCATAACCTCTTATGCGAGAAGATATTATGACATATTGCTTTGCCTCATTTGTGCATGTTCATTCAGCTAAAAGAGGGTTTGGTATTTGCAAATAGAATTTTTTTTAAAAGCAGATGGTGGGCCTTGGAGAATGTTTCCAATTTCTGCAAAGCGCTAAAAGCATTGATGGGAGCTGTCTGCATGATGATTAGATGTCTAAAACTTATGTCACAGATCGTGAGCAACTCCAAAATCTCAATAATTATTGACCGCTTATCCCAAATAGCTGGCTTATTTCTAACTGAGAGAAGACTGAAAAGCCATTCAGTGTCTTGGGAAATTCAATCAGAGTTAAAAATTAAGCTCACTGTTGAGGGACAAGGAAGTTGCCTAAGTCTTTCAGCAACAATGGAAATTATGTCTCTAAATTGTATTTGCTACTGAAAATACTACTTTGTTTTAAATGCCAATAAGGCTAACTGCCCAAGTGACACATGAACTATTTAAATTATCTACACATAGCTTCAGTTTCTTGTCAAGCCACAGAGACTTTACAAAGTGGCTCTTTCTGCTTTCTTAAGCGGGAAGAGTGTCAATGAATTAGTATAGAAGTTACAGCAATTCCAATGGTGTAGATTTTTTTCCCCTGCCAAACAGTAGGATCAAATAGCTTCTGCCTATATGGTTTTCATTATTTAAGGCTAAAATTAGAATAAAGTCACTTCTGAAAAGAAAGATTAGATCTGACAAAACCAAAGTATTCTTAGCTATTGAAATCATCATCTTCACCCCTTTGATGTCTTTGTCTTGTAAAGCGTGAAAGGTCAAGGAAGCTAAAAGCAAAATAAAAGTGTTTAGTACAAAATGCGAGAAGACATTATAACATATTGCTTTGCCTCAGTTGTGCATGTTCATTCAGCTAAAAAATTTATTCTGCAGCTATTATGTGCCAGGCATTGAAGACATGTGTTCATTACTGTATAGGGGTACAATGGGGGAACGAATCCAAGGTTCTTCCCTCCTGGTACTAACAAAGAACTTATGTAATATGAAATTTCACCATGGCCAATATGGCTTGGTGATTGACAGCCCTGGTTGGTAAATGAAGAAACCTAGGCTTTAAACCAAAGCGGTGCCGCCGAAAGAGCTATGTGTTCTCAGGAAAGTGCCTGGTAGTTTTCACTCCACTGCCCTAAATCTTCTAAAGGGCGGGGCCAGCATCTGACTTGCCTAGGTCCCCTAAATTGCCTAACAGATTCCTATGCCTCACAGATGTTCAATAAATGTTTGGTGAATGAACAGACCTCATATTCTCTGACATTTCTATCATCCTATTCAATCCCCATGGCAGATTACTTTTGCCATGGAGAGTCAAGCTCTCCATCTCTGACATGCCAGGTTTTAGATAAATCCCTCAGAAAAGGAATGCGGGAGAGATGTCCTTCCTTCCCTGCTCCACACACATATGAAAAAAGCCATTCACTCTTTGAACGGGTATTCCCCTATCTCTTCTATTTGGGCCACAGGGCTTCTATCCAAGATGAATTTCACTGGTCGTCCAGTAACTCTTCTTATCTGTCTACTGACTAGGGACATCCAGCAGCCATCTCCTTGATGCTGTTAATCCCAGTATGCAGGTTACCTCCCTGCAAATGTCCCTGTAAACAATGACTAAGTCAACTTTAAAATCTTATATCCAGAAGACTTTTTCTTTCTTTTTTTTTTTTGAGATGGAGTCTCGCTGTGCTGCCCAGGCTGGAGTGCAGTGGCGCGATCTCGGCTCACTGCAAGCTCCGCCTCCCGGGTTCACGCCATTCTCCTGCCTCAGCCTCCTGAGTAGCTGGGACTACAGGCACCCACCACCATGCCCGGCTAATTTTTTGTATTTTTAGTAGAGACGGGGTTTCACCGCGGTAGCCAGGATGGTCTCTATCTCCTGACCTCGTGATCCGCTGCCCGCCTCAGCCTCCCAAAGTGCTGGGATTACAGGCGTGAGTCACCACGCCCGGCCCAGAAGACTTTTCCAAGAATGTCTTTTTCAATACTTTTTCAAGAAGGGGAGAATTAAAAGTAATGGCAAACACCGCAATAACTTTTGCACCAACCTAAATACTGCAATTAGTTTATACTTACCTAAATACTAACGTAGATACTTACTTAAATACAACTATACTTACCTTACTACTGTAGTAAATAGTTACTATACTTTTACCTAAATGCATTCCACAGTCACTTTACTATGAATCTTCCTAGGCTCTGCATGTATTTAGGTTCGTTCAAAAGTAATTGTGCGTTACTTCTGCACCAAACTAAATACATTCAGAGACAATGAAGATTCTCATTCCTTGGTAGCTGTTTCTCTTTCATTTTGACTCCTCCTCTCCTGGCTCTGCTGACCCCAGAACCCAGGGACCATGTCTGTCTTGCACATCACCACATGCCCAAGGGCAAGTCTACTTGCTGAATAAATGAATCAACGTCTTCAGGCTCAGTCTTTTTTTTTTTTCTATTTCATTTTCTTACATTTCTATGTGTCTCTCTCAGTTGATGAATAGTTTATTAGTCCTAACTATTGCATTTGTAATCATGACTATATTACATTTTGGTATATTTTCAATGCTGGCATCTATATGTAAATCTAAAACTAAATGGAATTTAAAGTCTCTACCCAAACAAGGCAAACATATTGCAGCTATCATCTAAATAGGTCATTGACAGATACTTTTGAAACAATTGGTGAGACTTGGAAATGGAGTAGCTATCAGAAAATTATCGATAATTTTCTTAGTAGTAATAACTGTGATTATGTAGAGAATGTCTTTATTTTAAGGAGATGGATAATTATAATATTTAGAAGTGAGTGTCATGGTGTCTTTCAAGTGACTTGCAATACCTATTTATTATCTGTCTACCCATTATCTAGATAAAACAAATACAGTCGGGCACAGTGGCTCACGCCTATAATCCCGGCACTTTGGGAGGCTGAGACAAGTGTATTGCTTGAGCCCAGGAGTTCGAGACCAGACCGGGCAACATAGCAAAATTTCGTCTCTACAAAAAATACAAAAATTAGCCAGGCATGGGGCATGCACCTGGAGTCCCAACTACTCGGGGAGGCTGAGATAGGAATATCACTTGAGTCCAGGAGGTCAAGTTTGCAGAGTGAGATTCTGTCTCAAAAAACAAAACAGAACACTCCAATATGGTGGAGTGTTAAAAATTTTGGTTCTTGATGATGGGTCTATGTGTTATTATCATTTTATTCTTCTATATGCTTGAGAATCTCCATAAAAACATTTTAAAAAGTGATATAGCAGATGTTTCTGATCTTGGGGACAAGTATGAACTGATCTTGCTCAGGGTTGCCTCCCACCTGAATCACATTTGAACCATGAGTGTTGCAGAGTAATCTTTCCTTCAAGAAAAAAGTCTCCCATCTTCCCTGGCAGCCTATTCTGAATTTTCATCATCTTTACAGTCAAGAAGTTCTTTCTTCTGCCTATTTCAAATGGTAAAGGAACTCGTTTAGCTCTCAGCTATTTTGGTCTCTTCTGATTTCATAACAGGGTGGTTTGCAGAGTGTGTTAGATTTCGACTTTTCTTCAGGATTCATGTTCCCATGGGCATTCTGGAATGGCTGGTAGGAGAGATTTCTCTCCAGTGTGGTCTGATATTTATCTGGAAACTCTGCAGGGAAACAGCACAAGGTACTCTGATGCTGAGCCACACAGCCTGATGCCTGTCCCCCAACTTTTGTTTTTGTTTTTGTTTTTTGGGGGGGTTTTTTTCAGAGATGGAGTTTCGCTCTGTCGCCCAGGCTGGAGTGCAGTGATACGATCTCGGCTCACTGCAACTTCCACCTCACGGGTTCAAGCAATTTTCCTGCCTCAGCCTCCTGAGTACCTGGGATTACAGGCGCCCACCACCACACCCAGCTAATTTTTTGTATTTTTAGTGGAGGTGGGGTTTCGCCGTGTTGGCCAGGGTGGCCAGGCTGGTCTCGAACTCCTGAACTCAGGTGATCTACCCGCCTCAGCCTCCCGAAGTGCTGGGATTACAGGCATGAGCCACCGTGCCCGACCTATTGGCCTATTTTTCTTTCTATTTTTCACACATTTCTTATTTACTTATTGTCTACCTCTTCCACTAGAATGTACACTGTGAGGGTGTGGCCTTGGTCTGTGTCAATTTGGACTCAGTGGTTGGAGTTTACAGAATGTTTCTTTTTTGGCTTCGATGTCTTCCCGGGATGCTTATCCTTCATTAAGGATATTTCCTTCTAGTCAGTTCCGTTCTAAAGGAGCCACCATTATAAGAGACACCTCATTAGGAGTTCCATGCTTAGGGGCACTTGGGCAAACAACAAGAGGTCATTCTCCAATCGTATTTAATCTCTAGAATCTCCTAGAAACAGAATAACTTTAGCTAATTGCCCCCAAATACTTTTCCTCAAGAGAAATTTGATTATATTCTACTGATATAAACAAAACATGATTCCCTTCACATAGAGAACTGGGTTATTGAACTGAGTGCCAGAGAATAAGAACAGAACAATCTTAGGTAATATTATTAGCAATGTATTATCTTTGTGTAAAACGACAGTTTCCAAATGACACAAATGATCTCATCTTTCTTGGAATTATCCCGTAGCGGGCAGTTTGGTGTTTAACGAACTTGGGGCGAATTAAGAAATGTGTCTTTCCAGAGATTCATTTGTTGATGATGACTTTGCAAGCACATGCCCTGCGGTAAAGATACGCTGTGGTCTGGAAATGCATGTGTGTGCATATGTACACACACGCACACATACCATACACATACAAACACACACACACACACACAGACGACCAACTAAATACATGAGTTTGCACATTGGAATCCAGGCTGAAAAAAGTTGCAGTGTCCTGGATGCGCTCAGATGGTTGGGGGAGTGGGGGTCTGGTACATTTTCAAGGTTCTGTTTTGGTGTCAGATTGAGTGGAGATAGAGCGGCCATTAATTTAGCAGAGCATCTGGGATCTTTAAAGCCAGAAAGAGCTATACAATTTATCAATCTTAATTTGCTCTCACTGTCATTAGACAGGGAAGATCTCTGGGAAACCCTGACAGGCCCCAGATGTTCTCCATTCGGCTGATATCACACACACCAGCAACGGCTGCAGAACTCCCACCCCCACCTTCCTCAGTCTCCCTTATGCCTCGTCCCTTGCACTTGGGCTTGCTATGCTAGTTCCTGGACAGTATTTAGTAGCAGAAATGCACTTATTCAGTTAGGACTCTCTGGGCCACCCTACTTGCAACAGGAAACTGTCCTGTTGGAAGCCACTGGCACTGAGGTCCAGGGTGAAACTTTCAATCGAGAAAACATTTGTGTCCTTAATTAGAGAAATGAGGGGAAATTGATCAACCCACCCAGTGTCTAGGACACATTCGGGTCCCTGAAATGCTCTCCTGGGTCAGCCATGTCTGAGGACCCATGGAAGAGCTATTATTGTCACTTCGTTATTTTAAGTTCCTTGAAGGTAGGGCTTGAATGTAAGATGTCATTTATCTTCCTATGATTTCCCCTATGATGTCATATATGGCAATGTTCAATTAATATACATGGCCTAACTGGATCATTGGGCTCTCACCAACTTATCCATTTTCATACATTCATCTTCTCCTTGTAAAGGAGGTTCTTAGTTCTGCAGGGTGAAAAATAAACAAACACATTTCTATATTCTTTAGGTTGTTTGTTTCCAACTATGTGCACCATCGTGGGTGAACAGGAGATAAGACAGACAGCACTTTTGGCTCCACAAACTTTAAGGTCTGGTGGTTGAGGCAGAGAAGTAAACAGCTGTTACTCACAGAGGGATAAAATTATAGGATCAGGGAGGGAGAAGTCCCGGGTTTTCTTTTTTTCTTTTCTTTCTTTTTAAGACAGAGTCTCGCTCTGTTGCCCAGGCTGCAGTGCAGTGGTATGATCTCAGCTCACTGCAACCTCTGCCTCCTGGGTTCACGCCATTCTCCTGCCTCAGCCTCCCGAGTAGCTGGGACTACAGGCACCTGCTACCACGCCCGGCTAATTTTTTGTATTTGTAGTAGAGATGGGGTTTCACCGTGTTAGCCAGGATGGTCTCGATCTCCTGACCTCGTGATCCACCCACCTTGGCCTCCCAGAGTGCTGGGATTACAGGCGTGAGCCACCGTGCCTCGCCAGTCCTGGGTTTTCTGAAAGGGGAGAGCTGATTTTTTAATATTAGTTTAGGAGTTGGGAGGAGGAAGCAACATTTATTTTGATTCTTGAACCATGAGAAATGAGCTGGGTAAAGATGAGGGGTGACTCTTGGCACAAAGTTTACACAAAAGTTGAGCAGGACATTTCATTGTCGTTGCAGTTGTTTGGATGGGAGGGGGAAAAGGAGTGATTTCCCTTCATTTTCCTAGTCATGACCCTAGGCGTGGAAAGAGGAAGTGACTCTTCTGCTACTTTTAGGCATAAGTTTCTTGGTATATGCACCATTCCTTTGAATTAAGCCATTCTGTTTCAGAAGGCTTCAGTAAAAACAGAAATTACCCAGGGAGGTAATACAAATTACCCATTAGCAATTTCAGATGACTTAAATTATTCCTTGACGTTTTCTAGTTACTTCTCTGGGTTCTGATGAAATGAGCAATGTGGCTATTGGATTTATTTTATTTACTTATTTCTTTTGAGACAAAGTGTCACTCTTGTTGCCCAGGCTGGAGGGCAGTGGTGCGATCTTGGCTCACTACAACGTCTGCCTCCCAGGTAAAAGTATAGTAGCAAGTGATTCTCCTGCCTCAGCCTCCCAAGTAGCTGGGATTACAGGCATGTGCCACCATACCTGGCTAATTTTTGTATTTTTAGTAGAGACAGCATTTCACCAAGTTGGCCAGGCTGGTCATGATCTCTGGACCTCAGGTGATCCTCCCACCTCGGCATCCCAAAGTGCTAGGATTGCAGGCATGAGCTACCATCCCCAGCCATGAATTTCAAAAGGAAGAAGTGAAGTTCAGAGGAAGGAAGGAAAAACAGAGATGGTAAGGTGCTGAGTTTACTCGGTGGTTTTCGGGAACTCTATTTCAACCTGGTGTTACTAGGTCTGACATTTACTCCCCTCAAAAGGTCCCATGCTAAAATAAGTTGGGAAAACATATGTTTAAAGGAAGTGAAAGTTTATTTATAGTAGGCATTTTTGGAGCTTTCATTATGCCAAAGTGCAACGTGACTCTTCAAGAAATGTTATAACATTAATCATTTTCTAAATGTATTTGACCTCAGAATCTCTCTTTTTTTGGAAAGGAATTAGTGTTTCAGCCAACACACGTTGTGCAATTTTGGTTTGGTCTATGGAGTAGTTGAGAGGATGAATAACTCCTGGAAGGGCCCCACTGTGTCACTGCAATGGCCAAAGCACTACATGGTGGAGAGTGTTGGGTTGACTCATTTGTACCCAAGATCAGCCTGATTTCTTGCTTGAATATATGTTTATGCCCTTCCATAACCTAGTGTGGATTTAAGAATATGTTAGTTCTGTAAACAATCCTCCCCCCAATTTATTTATTTTTTGTGATTTATTATTATTTCAAGATTAAAGATTTTCCATTATGCTCCCTAAAATGAGGTAGATCCGCAGAGAATCTGAGCTCTCATGCAATTGCTTTCTGGCCAAATGTGCAAACTCCTTCTATAAAAGTACCAGGCAATCCATCTTGTCCACTTGACCTCGTTTATCTCGCTTAGTTTATCAGTTCATCTTGGAAACACACTTTCACCAAGCTGACCATGACTATTTATATACACTTGGAAGACATTCCACTGGAAATTATTCTCGTACTGCTTTGCCAGTATAGCAGGGAAGTGGTAATAGGACCCTACTGTTTCATCACTATGTTTTCCTTAAGATAGTTTCCTGTGGTGTTATCAGCCAGTTTGAAGATTAAGAAAATCTCCTGCAGGCATTCCAAAACTCTTTTGTTGGAAGTTGGAAGGCATTCCTTCCAACTCTTTTGGTTTCTTCTGGAGCAAGAAATATTTATAAAAGATGGGAAGGCAAAAATCTAAGAGAGGAAAGAGGGGGAAAACTATTTGTTTTCTTTATTTCAACTATTTAGATATCTACTGTGCACAGGAGACTCTGGTGGGGACTGCAAAAAATGTGGAAAGGGGTATGATGTGGCCATGTGGTCCTTGCCATTAGGTCCAGCCTCCATTAGGAGGATGACAAGGGAGGAAAACAAGATATCTGCATAATTGATTAACTATCAGGCAGATAAAGGCAAATACGAGATAACATCAAAATGCCCCATGATTCACACTCTGGGAGGAGGGAGAATTTTCTGTAAAGACTTCATGAGAGGCCGGGCATGGTGGCTCATGCCTGTAATCCCAGCACTTTGGGAGGCAGAGGCAGGTGGATCATCTGAGACCAGGAGTGCAAGACCGGCTTGGCCAACATGGTGAAACTCCATCTCTACTAAAAATACAAATATTAGCTGGGCATGGTGGCGCATGCCTGTAGTCCCAAAGCTTCTCGGGAGGCTGAGGCAGGAGAATTGCTTGAACCTGGGAGGTGGAGGTTGCAGTGAGCCAAGATCACACCACTGCACTCCAGCCTGACTCCATCTCAAAACAAAAACAAAAACAAACAGACAAAAAAACACTTCATGAGAGAGGTGGCCCTTGAGATAGGCTTTGAAGGTTGGATAAGATTTCACCTTGAAGACAATTGGGGAAGCTGTTTCATGGGGAGGGAAGAATGGGAGCAAAAGTGTGAAGAGAAGGTGTATTCAAGAAGCACGCAGCAGGTTTTTAGATATTGGCATTCATCCAGCCTGTGACATACGCTAGAATCAGGAGTCTTTCTCATTCCTCCCCGACCTCCAGCATCCTTTACTCAACAGCTCCCTCAGGCCAGTGGATTTGCTCTCCTAGTAGCTTTCAAACCCATCGCAGATCCATTCCCATTTCATCTTTTGTTTTCTTTTATTTTTTATTTTTTTGAGATGGAGTCTCACTCTGTCACCCAGGCTGGAGTGCAGTGGTGCCATCTCGGCTGACTGCAACCTCCACCTCCTAGGCTCAGGCCATTCTCCCGCCTCAGCGTCCTGAGTAGCTGGGACTACAGGTGCGCACCACCATGTCTGGCTAATTTTTGTATTTTTATTGGAGACAGGATTTCACCATGTTGGCCAGGCTGGTCTTGAACTCCTGACCTCGTGATCGCCCACCTCAGCCTCCCAAACTTTTGAGATTACAGGCATGAGCCACCACACTCGGCCCCAGTTCATCTTTTCTAGCTCACTTTGCTGTGATTGACTCCTACTGATTTCTCCTTTTCTCTGCCTGCGCGGCCTCTGGTAGACTCGCTACACTACCACCAGAGAAAACTCCCCTAAGGCAAACCTAAGTAGTCACACGGCAGCCCATGGCCACCAGGAGCGAGTCCAGATTCCTTACCGTGGCCTGGGTTCTGCAGTTAGATGGGGCTGCGCTCAAATTCCATCTCTGTTGCTATAAGTTATGTGACCAGCTGTGTTAACCTGTGAGGGCAGACCTCAGTTTTGTCATCTGTAAGGTGGGCATCATTATTAGTAGCCATCACTTTTCTTTTTACTTACTTTCCTTTTGCTTTTTTTTCTTTGAGACAGTCTAGCTCTGTCACCCAGGCTGGAGTGCAGTGGCCCAAACTCAGCTCACTGCAACCTCTGCCTCCCGGGTTCAAACGATTCTCCTGCCTCAGCCTCCCAAGTAGCTGGGATTACAGGCGCCCGCCATCATGCCTGGCTAATTTTTGTATTTTTAGTAGAGACGGGGTTTCACCATGTTGACCAGGCTGGTCTTGAACTGACCTCAAGTGATTGGCCCGCCTCGGCCTCCCAAAGTGTTGGGATTACAGGCGTGAGCCACCTTGCCCGGCCACTAATATTCTTATCACTGTTTTCTCTCCAGCATTTCCCCTCACTCATTCTTATATGATCCCGGCCCCAGTTTTTGTTGGCAACTGCAGAACGTTCTCTCTTGGCCTTTATCCTCTCATCTTTTTCTGTTACTCCTCCCACCTGCCTCTGAAACGGGCCTCCAGCATCCCTGCCTCTTGGAAATCTGCTGGTATCCTCTTCTCTGCACTCCTGTCCCCAGGACTTATTGAGTATCGGTGATCCCATCCCACCTGGTACCTCCCTTGCAATGTTGCATGCCTTCATCTTTCCATACCTGGCTAACTATTTCTCTAGGATAAATTCCCAGAAGTGAAATTGCTGGTCAAAGGATAGGTGTATTTTGAGTTTGGACACCCAGTGCCATATCACCCTCTAAAAGGGAGTGTAAATTTCCACTCCCACAAGCAGTGGATAAAAGGATCTCATTTTCTCACACCATGCTAACGCTCGGTAGGGTCACTATTTTTTAGTCTTTGCCAATCTGATGGGTGAAATATGATCCATCATTGTTGTTTTAGATGATTTTCTTTGATCTTTAACAGCGTTTCATGGTACGTTTATTTCCACCTTTGTGAATTGCCTCTGTGTTTTGCCCATTTTTCTAGTGCGGTTTGATTTGTAAGATGCTCTTCTATATTCGCCTTTAAAAAGGTGCATTGCAAATATTTCTCCTATCTTATTATTTACCTTTAAACTTACAGTATATCATAGGTCTTTTATTAATTTTTGTGGTAGGGAAGTTTAAAACTTTTACGTTGCTGAACTTATTTATATTTTTTCTTTTCAAAATCAGAGTATTTTTTCTTACTTAATAAGAATAGTAGAATTATAATACTCTACTCATTTTTCTTCAAATACTTTTAAGAGATGATGATGATAATGATGATGATGATGATGATGATGATGATGATGATGGCATGATTATATTTTAGAAATGGAGGCTCGCTCTGTCACCCAGGCTGCAGTGCTGGAGTGCAGTGGCACCACCATAGATCACTGCAGCCTTGAACTCCTGGGCTTAAACAATCTTCCCATCTCAGCCTCTGAGGTAGCTGGGACTACCAGCACATGCCACCAGACCTGGCTAATTTTTTAATTGTTTCGTAGAGATGAGGTCCGGCTATGTTGCCCAGGCTGGTGTTGAGCTCTTGGCCTCAAGCAATCTTTCAGTCTTAGCCTTCTAAATATTATTTTAAAAATATTTAAACCTCAATCTATTTAGAACTTATTTGGATATAGGATGTAAGGTAAGGATCAGTCTTCATTTCTCCCCCAAACTGGTAGTCCATTGTTTCAATAGTGTTGAAGAGCAGTTCTTTTCCATGAATATATTTGAATCATACGATAAATTTTTGTGTGTGCACATGTGCTGTTTCCCTCTAGTTCCTGGACTCTTCATTTCTTTCCATTGCTCTCTTTTCTTTTCTTTCTTTTTTTTTCTTTTTTGAGAGAGAGTCTCGCTCTGTTACCCAGGCTGGAGTGCAGTGGCGCGATCTCAGCTCACTGCAACCTCCACCTCCCAGGTTCAAGTAATTCTCGTGCCTCAGCCTCTGAGTAGCTGGGATTACAGGTGCCCGCCACTACGCCTGGCTAATTTTTGTATTTTTAGTAGAGATGGGGTTTGCCATTTTGGCCAGGCTGGTCTCGAACTCCTGGCATCAAGTGATCCTCCCACCTCGGCCTCCCAAAGTGCTGGGATTACAGGTATGAGCCACTGAGCCCGGCCTATTGGCCTATTTTTCTATTTCTACATGAGTTTTTTTTTTTTTTTTTTTTGAGACGGAGTCTCGCTTTGTCACCCAGGCTGGAGTGCAGTGGCGGGATCTCGGCTCACTGCAAGCTCCGCCTCCCAGGTTCACGCCATTCTCCTGCCTCAGCCTCCCAAGTAGCTGGGACTACAGGTGCCCGCCACTACGCCCGGCTAATTTTTTGTATTTTTAGTAGAGACGGGGTTTCACCGTTTTAGCCGGGATGGTCTCGATCTCCTGACCTCGTGATCCGCCCGCCTCGGCCTCCCAAAGTGCTGGGATTACAGGCGTGAGCCACCGCACCCGGCCCTACATGAGTTTTATACCATTAGGTTGGTGCAAGAGTAATTGTGGTTTTAGTGGCAAAAACCTCAATTACTTTTGCACCAACCTAGTTAAATGTGGCATGATAGTATATTTTGATATGTGGCAAGCTAGTCCTCCACAGTCTCATTTTCTCAAATGTTCTTATACCCCTGCCTTGTTACTGGGATTGAGATAAAGACTCATCCATCTGCAGGCCCAGGAGATGCTTGGGATTCTGGGGATGCTGGTGACCTGAACAGACCGAATGGCCTGGATTCATGTGTTCTTTTAGAAATCCTCAGGCTTTGGAGGATGGCCTCAGATTTGAGGAAACTCGCAGAGACCCTGGGTCTAGTGCTGGTTCCAACCTCTGGGGATCTCTGTGCAGGTCTGGACTGTTCTGTAGCAGGGAATATTCTAGGGATTAGGTATGTCCTTTCTGAGGATTGATTGCCATGCCTTGCTGAGGGCAAAAATAGTGGTGAGAGAGGGCCAGAGAAAGAGTGATGGGCTTTTGACTTCTGTTTCATTCTGATTTATACTCAGTACCAGCCCGCTTCCTAGAAAAGGAAAATTACTACATTCATAAAATTGGTATACCTAAGCTGTTCAATTACTCTTAAAAATAAGAATGTGAGAAATCACTGATTGCAAATGTGAATGCTGGTGACTAGGACACGGTGTGAAATGTTCATTTTCAGAAGGAATGAGGCATTGTTGGTGCACACCATGAAATTCTTTGAACATTTCTAGGGCCAAGAGAAAAGGGACTTTACCCTAGTACCTTATATGGGTCTCGTTCCTACCCTTTTTGGAGGAGAGTGCACGTGAGTTCACCATGCCTTCATTCATACGTTCGTGTTTCCAGCCACTGAAACCGTCTAACTATTTTAACTCAATCCAGTCCCTCTAAATACCACTCACCAGAAACAGATCAGGAAAAACAACAAGAAGCAAGGTTTAGATTAAGCCTCTGAGGAGGGGGAAATGGTTACACAGGTCAAATTCCACTGAGGCAAGACTTGGGCAAAATCTACAATGGTCTGCATTTTCCTACTGATCAATAGTTTTCCTTCTGATCAATAGTTTTCCTTACGTAGGTTTTCTCTTTAGGCTGCAGCCATCTTTCATTATTGTACATTTTTGTGGTGACCAGATTTAACCTATAAATAGAACTTGCATGACTTTGTTCTTCTAGGAATTAGGACCAAATCGGCCCTAAACTCAGCTTTCATAGGTGACTTCTCAAATTATGGTCAGGGTACAGTTTCTCCTTCCTTTGTTGGGAAACAACACATTTTTGCATGGTGGTGTCATCAAAATATGTAATACATAGAATTTCCCTAAAATGCTGTGATTGTGTTTAAGGACATCTTCAGGCAGCTGATTTCTGCCCTGAGTTTGCAAAATGAAACCCAGATTTCTTTCTGGATATGTAAACAGAATTACTCCCATGTAGAAGCAAGGCCAGGGCGGTGTAAAAACAAGTACTTCATTAGCTTTCAATTGTGAGCCCATCCCATGGTGGGAGAGTTGGGGACCTAAAGGGCACCCCTGGAAGTCTCTACTACAATATTGCTTCTTGCAATGTGGTCTAAGGTTTCTGTGATTTGTCATCACCTAAGGGAACCAGGGTCCTGGGAGTGGGGTGGGTGTGGCTGCAGAATTCTGCATTTTTACAAGCACTCCAGGTACTGCCCATTCTGTCCACACGGAAATTGAGAACAACTATCTTATAGGGCTCTCAATATTTGTTGAGAGCCCTATTTGGCCGGATGTTTATGAAAGTTTATACAAAAATGATCTGAGGGCTGAGCGTGGTGGCTCATGCCTGTAATCTCAGCACTTTGGGAGGCCGAGGTGGGCAGATCACAAGGTCAGGAGATTGAGACCATCCTGGCCAACATGGTGAAACCCCGTCTCTACTAAAATACAAAAAATTAGCTGGGCATGGTGGCACATGCCTGTAGTGCCAGCTTCTTGGGAATCCCTTGAACCCGGGAGGCAGAGGTTCCAGTGAGCCAAGATTGCGCCACTGCACTCCAGCCTGGTGACAGAGCAAGACTCTGTCAAAAAAACAACAAAAAAATCATCTGAGACAGAAAGTTAAAAATCCTACTATTAAAAGTTGCCAGAGGGCTGGGCACGGTGGCTCATGTGTGTAATCCCAGCACTTTGGGAGGCTGAGGCAGGTGGATCACTTGAGGTTAGGAGTTCAAGACCAGCCTGGCCAACAGCGTGAAATCCCTTCTCTACTAAAAATACAAAAATTAGCCAGGCTTGGTGGCAGGTGCCTGTAATCCCAGCTACTTGGGAGGGTGAGGCAGGAGAATCACTCGAATTCGGGAGGTGGAGATTTCAGTGAGCTGAGATCTTACCACTGTACTCCAGCCTGGGCAACAGAGTGAGACTTTGTCTCAAAAAAAAACAAAAGTTGCCAAGAATGGGACTTTGAAGGCTTTCATTGCTTTAGAACTGTATACTATTTCTTTATATTGAATCCAAGACTCTTGAAGAACTCAAAGCTTCTTTTTGGTTATGTACTTAGGGTTTAATTGGATATTGCAAGCTCAAATGTATTCAGAGGCTAGGCTGGCATCATAAATAAAAGACAATTAGAAATGATGGGACCCATGAGAAAATGGAGATTGTGTGCCCCAGTAAAGGCTTCCAAATTTGAAATCATGTTACATACCATGGTCAAACAAAACATATGTCTCAAAGCTGTAATGAGCAAGTAAAGCTGTGGGTTTAGGACCTTTGCTAAGTAATTTCTGCCTCCTTCCAAACAAAACGATTCTAAGTTCTTTAATCTTTATTCATGAGCAGGCATTTTTGTTATTGTTTTTAGATCTTTCTGCCTCGTTTTTAAAGAGGTAAAGGAGGAAGGTCTGCAAAAGTTAATTTTATAGCATGAAAACTATCAGGGCTGAGAAAAGTTCTTTGTTTTCAAATGTCATTATTACTATATGTTATCAGTGTGTTTGCTTAAAAAATGGTATTTAATTTTTTTGTTGTGAAGCTAATATATTAACACACGTCTAAAAGAATAATTGGAAAAGAAAAAGAAAAAAATAAGCAAAATTAACTCATCCTTTGGTGAATGTTTTGATGTATTTTTTCCGGTTCTTTTTTTCTATATAAAGTTTGAACATAATTTATTTTTATTTTGTTTTTTTTAGAGAGGGTCTCAATCCCATCACCCAGGCTGGAATGCAATGGTGCAATCATGGTTCACTGCAGCCTTGACTTCCCAGGTTCAGGTGATCCTTCCACCTCAGCCTCCCAAGTAGCTGGAACCACAGGTGTGTGCCGCCATGCCCAGCTAATATTTTGTATTTTTACTAGAGATGAGGCTTGCTCATGTTGCACAGGCTGGTCTTGAACTCCTGGGCTCGAGTGATCTACCCATCTTAGCTGCCCAAAGTGCTGGGATTATAGGTGTGAGGCACCGTGCCTAGCCCATAACTTATTTTTCTAACTATACCTCATTCCAAAAAGGATTAAAGACTATTATTAAAGACAAAGTGATCCATTATGTTCCCGTATATTTATGCATAAGTGTATACGTACATGTACGTGTATCTTTTTTTTTTTTTTTTTTTGAGATGAAGTCTCGCTCTGTCGCCCAGGCTGCAGTGCAGTGGCACAGTCTCAGCTCACTGCAACCTCTGCTTCCTGGGTTCAAGCGATTCTCCTGCCTCAGCCTCCCGAGTAGCTGGGACTACAGGCATGCGCCACCATGCCCCTGTAATTTTTGTATTTTTTACTAGAGACGAAGTTTCACCATGTTGGCTAGGCTGGTCTTGAACTTCTGACCTCAGGCGATCCACCCGCCTCGGCCTCTGAAAGTGCTGGGATTACAGGCGTGAGCCACCGCACCTGGCCTAGGTGTACTTATAATAGCAATCATATTGTGTATGCTCACGACAGTGTTTGTATGCATTTTTTTTTAAATATGTGTTTCGGAGATCTTTCCATGTTGTTACTTATAACAGCCATAGTAGCCACAGCTAACATTTATTGAACACTTTGTATGTGTACAGCACTGTTCTGAGAACTTCACGTGTACTACTTATTTAATTCTCACAACAAAGGGGGTGTTGTTAATTCTGCCTTTCAGATGACACTGAGGCACAGAGAGATTCAGGGGTTTCCAGTGACACAGATAGTAAATGGTGCAGTTGGGATTTGAGGACTGCCAGTCTGACTTCAGAGTCTATGAGCTCAAGAGTCTATGAGTTTCAGCGTCTATGAGGTTAAGAGTCTATGAGTACCATGTGGTACTGCCTCTCAGGCTTCTGAACTATTGCAGAGTGTTTATATTGAATCCAAGACTCTTGAAGAGTTTTAAGCTCCTTTTTGGTTATGTACTTAGGGTTTAATTGGGCACTGCAAGCTCAAATGCACTCAGAGGCTAGGGAGGCATCATAAATAAAAGACAATTAGAAAGGATGGGACCCATGAGAAAATGGAGATTGTGTCCCAGTAAAGGCTTCCAAATTCAAAATTGTGTTAAATGCCACGGTCAAACAAAACACATCTCAAGGCTGTATTGAGCAAGCAAAGCTGTGGATGTGTGGGTGTGGAAACTTTGCTAAGTAATCCCCTCTTTAAAAACTGTACCACGTTTTAAAAAAACTGTCAATACTAATTGACTTTAGGTGGCTCAAAAATCTTATTATTACAAGTAAGATGACAGAGATATCTTGGTATACACACGCCCATATTTATGTAGATTAGATATTAGGCAATGGGCTCTGCTAAGTCACCAGCTAATAGATATTTAACATTTTATTATATACTACCACGAAAGCTCTACCAATTTGTATTCCAACCCACAGTCTATGAGAGTGACTATTTCTTTGCCAATGCGCGATAACATTCTTTTAATTTTTGCTAATGTAGTGAGTAAAAAAATGATGTCTCATTAAAAAAATTTGCATATCCTTAATTACTAGTGAGGTTTCGTATGTTTGTTGGTCATTTAAATTTTCTCTTCTGTGAATTGTCCAGTAAGAATCTTTGCTGAGTTTTCTATTGAGTTCTTTGTTTTTTCTTATTGATTTTGGGATTTCTTTATATATTGTGGATAAAAATTCATGGTCTCTTTTAGGTAGCATTAAAAAAAATGAGAGAGGGCCAAGAGTGGTGGCTCATGCCTGTAATCCCAGCTCTTTGGGAGGCTGAGGGGAGCAGATCACTTGAGGTCAGGAGTTTGAGACCAGGCTAGCCAACACGGTGAAACCCTGTCTCCACTAAAAATACAAAAATTCTGGGTGTGGTGGCTCACACCTGTAGTACCTACTACTCAGGAGTCTGAGGCAGAAGGATGGCTTGAAACTGGGAGGCAGAGGTTGTAGGAAGCCAAGATCGAGCCACTGCACTCCAGCCCGGGCAACAGAGTGAGACTCCATTCACCCAACCCCCCAGAAAAATGAGAGGTGGCATCGGGTATGGGTTATGAGCACAGTCCATGAAGTGAGGCTGTCTGGATTCTAATCTTGGCTGTGCCACTTACTAGCTGTGTGATCTTGGCCAAGTGACTCAATCTCTCTGTATCTCAGTTTCCTAGCCTGAAAAGTGAGAAGGATAATAATAGTGTCTACTTCACCCTGTTGTAGGAGTAAATGAATAAGGACACATTAGGTTGGCATCTGGCACATAATTAGCAGCATTTGAAGCAGTTATTGTATTATTGTTACTTGTTGTAAATATCTTCCTATCTGCTGTTTGTTTTCAACTTTGTGCTGCCTTTAGTATTAATCAAGTTTAAGTTTAAGCATATATATATATTTGAAACAGGGTCTGTCTCTGTTGCCCAGGCTACAGTGCAGTGGTATGTTCATAGCTCACCATAGCCTCCAACTTCTGGACTCAAGCAATCCTCCTGCCTCAGCCTCCTGAGTAGCTGGGATAACAGGTGTGCAGCACTATAACAGGAAATTTTTTTTTTTTTTTTTTTAAAGATGGGTTCTTGTTATGTTGTCCAGGCTTATCTTGAGCTCCTGACCACAAACAACCCTCCTGCCTCAGCCTCCTAAAGTACTTGGATTACAGGCCTGACACACTGCTCCTGGCTGCAAGTTTGAAATTTTTGAATAGTAAAATCTATCAATCTTTCTCTTCAAAGCTTCCGAATGTCATGTCTTTTCCAAAGGAGGCCTTCTCTGTCTTAAGTTTATTTATGAACAAATTCTTTTCATTTTACTACCTATGTTGCATTTCCCCACTGTTTAATCCATTTAGAATCCATTTTTGTGTGTAGTGTGGAATAGAACTCTACCCACTCTATGAAAGAGGCACCCAATGTATAGTGTCTACCTACAGGCTGGCTGGTCCCCCTCTGGAATGTTGCCATGCCAGAGGCTTGCTTGGTCTCTGTTGGCTGGGTGGGCACTCTGCAGTGGTGGTAGCCTGGTCAGTCTTGGGGAGGAAAAGTCAATGTTGCTGAGCTGGTGAATGGCTTCCACCCCACACCCGGTTGACCATTGCACATACTCTGTTCTGTGCACCAGGCATCTGACTACGTTGGCCTGTGTTGGCCTCTGTCATCTGCTTGAGTCTGACCAATGACAGGTATTGGTGGGAGACCAGAAGACAGAATGAGAGAAAGGTCAGAGTGTTGATTCCACTTGCTCTTTCTCTGACTGGCCACAGATTTGTCCTCTGTAAATAATCCTTCTTTTAACTCATGTCAGTCCAATCTTTTGAATGTTCTCTAAGTGTCCTGCAGGAATGAAATGAATGAAATGTGAAACGACAAGGTTTCATATGGAAGGAAAGCCGGCAAGCCTGACACATACCATAGAATTTGATATCAATTTAGCCAAAAATCTGTGAATAAGGACATACTGAATGAAATCTATCATTCATGGCCACTCTAATTTTTTCACCCATTTGGGGAGGAAGTTAATTGTTTCAGCAATTGCTAGTTGTTTTGACACTCTGGAGTGTTTAGCTGAGATTTAAAGTTTGTGGCCATGTGTTAGAACATGACATGATCTCCCAGGATGAATATTTGTGTTATTTCTGTTGGGGGAAGAAGAAAGAATCTTGGAGAAGGAGGGAGTGGATGGCGCTACTGTCAACACATAATTAAAAGAAGTTTTTCAATGTCCTGTGTTTCAGGAACCTATGATTCTAGTGCGATAACAAGAATAAAATGTGGCTTAAACTACAGAAGCTTTGGAAGAATTTTTAGTGATTGTATACAAAACCCTTTGACCCGGGTCCTAAGATTTGCCCCATGCTTTAAATTCTTTTAAAAATAGCCTCGTTACAGCCGTGTGAAGGATGGCCATATTTTTATCTACCTCCTATAAATCAAGACACCATGCTGTAGACCTGGCCAAGATAAAACAGTAGAAAGGTTGAATTAGCAACTTAGTGCACCTTCTATTATGGTATATTAATTATAGGTGGATAATAGTTAAGGAGTGGAAATCCGTCCTACACAATTGTGGTTATCTCCTTATTTCTCATTTAACTGACTTATAAAAACTGTCCATTTCTCCCTCTAATTTGTTTTGGGCAGTTTGGTACTTCCTACTGATTCAACTGCCATGAACTTAGCAGGAAGTGATTAAAATGTAAATACCGGCCAGGTGCAGTGGTTCATGTCTGTAATCCTAGCACTTTGGGAGGCCGAGGCAGGTGGATCACTTGAGGTCAGGAGTTCGAGACCAGCTGGCCAACTGGTGAAACCCCGTCTCTACTAAAAATACAAAAATTAGCTGGGCGTGGTGATGCATGCCTGTAATCCCAGCTACTCGGGAGGCTGAGGCAGGAAAATCACTTGAACCCAGGAGGCAGAGGTTGCAATGAATCGAGATTGTGCCACTGAACTCCAGCCTGGGTGACAGAGCAAGACTCCATCTCAAAAAAACACAAAAACAAAAAACAAAATGTAAATACCCTTGATCGGCTGCTCTGGTGGGAGGCGGGGAGCGTGGGACAGGGGCGGTGTTGTCGTTTAGGGGTTTATGTGGAGAGTCATGAGACACCTGATTCTGCGCCATGGAAATGTCTTCCTGCTGGACTCTAGGCAGAAGGTGCCATTTCCCATCCATCAGGTCTTAGTGAAGGCCGTCTCCTCCTTCAGTGTCCTGATCACCTGCAGGGAATGTACAGAGAGTTCAGTTAGAAGAACAAAGAGCAATAGAATTTCCAAGACACAGCCAATATTTGTCAAGCCAATTAGGAGAAAAATAAAGCCTCCATAGAAATAAATAATAATGAAGTATTTAAATATTAGTTCCTGGTTAGCTTATTTGTAGTTTGTTCATCCACGAAATTGTAAACTCTGTAAGAGCAGGGAACATCTTCTTTACCAGTCTATGTTTAGTTCCTAAGCAGTGCTTGGCCTGTGGTAGTTACTCAATGGCTATTTATTAAATGAATGAGTGAATGAATTCACAAGAAAGGATTTAGCACAAAAGACTCTGAAAAAATGAAGGAATCCTGAGCACACGCTGTAGGGTTAGTTAGATCACCCTGAGATTACAGAAGGTAATTAATTCAGTTCACACCTTGTGGTAGGCAAAATAATAGCCTGCTAAAGATATCTGTGTAAAGGGGGAATTAAAGTTTCAGATGGAACTAAGGTTGCTAATTAGCTGATCTTACATTAAGGAGTTTATCCTGGATTTTCCTGATAAGCCCAATGTAATCATAAAAGTCCTTTAAATTAACCAAGGGAGGCAGAAGAGGGAGTCAGAGTCAGAGAGAAATTTGAAGGTTTGCTGGCTTTGAAAATGAAGGAAGAGGCTACAAGCCAAGGAATCCGGGCAGCCCCTGGATGGTGGAAAGGCAAGGAAACAGCTGTCCTCTGGAGCTTCCAGAAGGAACCCAGTTCTGCGAACATCTTGACTGTAGCCCAGTGAAACCCATTGAGGACTTCTGACCTGTAGAGCCAGGAGATAATAAATCTGTGTTGTCTAAAGTCACGACCTTTGTGGTGATTTGTTATAGCAGTAATAGTAATCCCTCTATGTAGTAGATATTTGTTAGTTTTCACCTGTCTCCTGTGAACAGTGCCCTCATTATTCTTTGGGGAACTCCCTTTTTCAGCCCTGCAGGTACTTTGTGTAAAGTCAGTTTCCTTCTTCATATTGGATGTGAGCATGTGATTCAGACGTGGCCCTTGGGAATGTTGTATTTGCCTGGTCAAAGTTGTTAGTTAAGGGTTGGTCAGATTTGTGTCCTTTAAAAGTAAAAGTGTTTTTCTCTGGGATCCTGGGGAGCAAGGCTTGTAGGCTTGAACTCTGGAGATGTGGGAACCGTCCCACCATCATGGAGAGCCTAAAACTGAAGGCAACATGGAGGAGCTCAGAGCCAAGAGAGGGCGACAGATTGGGTCTTCGGACCAAGCCGCTCTTGAATTTTACTATTACATGAGTCAATAAATTCCTTTTTCTGCATGAGCCAGTTACTTTTGCTTTTCCAATTATATCATCAAGTTTTAGTGAGGAGGCATAGGAAAGTGATAGAAATAACTCTATGTCTTTTATAGTTCATGTTTACGTGTACGTGTGATATACTTTGGATATTTACCCCACCCAAATCTCGTGTCAAATTGTAATCCCCCATGTTGGAGGTGGGGCCTGATGGGAGGTGATTGGATCACGGGGTGGATTTCTCATGAATGATTGAGCATTATCCTCTTGGTACTGTCCTCACAATAGTGAGTGACTTCTCACAAGATCTGGCTGTTTAAAACTGTGGCCCCTAGCCCTCTTTCTCTCTTGCTCCTCCTTTCACCATGTGATGCGCCTGCTCCTCCTTCACCTTCCACCATGATTGGAAGCTTCTTGAGGTCTCCCAGAAGCAGATGCCACTATGCTTCCTGCACAGCCTGCAGAACCGTTGAGGCGATGAAACCTCTCTTCTTTATAAATTACCCAGTCTCAGGTATTTCCTTAAAGCAATGTGATAATGGACTAATACAATGTGTGTTTGTAGATATATATGTATATAATACACTGTATATATTCTCATCATAGCCATTCTCAGTTACTTTTTCATCTTTGTAAAAACCTCTGTTAAATACTTCCAACCCTAACAGCATCAGTTATAGCTCTATAGAGTCAGGTTGTCTGCTTGACATTACATGACTATTAACATCAAGACTGTATTAGAAAGACAGTACCCTGTGATGGAAGTATGCTGCAACACATCTTAATTCTGTCTTTGAATGTTCCACATTATAATCTTGCTTAGCATAATGAAACCTTCATCATTTGAAAACATTAGCTATGAAAAGTTTTAAGTATTACCAGGAGGTCATTTTTAAAATGCAATAAATTTTCTAATGATTTGTCTTCACTAAATAATTTCGCTTGATTTTCTCAATATTTAACTAATCTATTTCTTTGAAACTCACCAACTTGCATTTTGACACACCAGTGGCTTTTCTCAGTTGAGGCTTATCTCATCACTGAGTTATTCAGCATCAAAGAGTAACATTTTCTCTCTGATTGTGTGTGTGGGAGCCTCTTGTAGGAGACTTCATTCTAGGTTTAAGGCTGTCATTCCCTTACAAAGGCCAGACTCACCAATTCAAGCGCCCACCATGGCCAGGCAGGTAACGAGTGAAGTGGGTTGGATGGGGACTGTGGTTGATCAGAAAGCCCACGCCTGTCTAGGTCCCCTGCCACTCAGGACCAGTGCTTGTTCTAGTAGAATGTAAACTCCATTGCTGATCTTTTAGGTTTCCAGCAGAGGCCAGAAATCCACACGTTTATCTACAGCTCTGAAGCTTTACCTATAGGATTCAAATTAAAATAAAAAAAAATACTATGTGGGTGAAATAAATCCTAAACAAACAACAAAAGCCATGCTCATCGGCTTCACTGTGGCTCCAGGCCACCAGTTTGTCCTTCCAGAATACATCGACTCATCCGTGCAGCCACAGATGTTGCGAGTCTCGCTTTGATCGTTTGTCTAATTGTGTTTCTTCCACTCTGGCTTCATTTTCAGGTGTGTTGGGACATTATCAATCCTGACATGCTCAAAACACTAGTGAGGAAAGGCATGCATTTATGGTGCAAGAATATTCTCGAGAAAAAAAAACTGCAAGAAAATGGTGAGAAAAGGACCAAAGTTGCGCACACATACTGGATGAATCATTAGGGAGCTGGCATGATTCTGAAGGAGAAAGAGAATCCTACAATGTGTGACAAGTTCATGCCCTTGCAATCTACAAAATTAGCAAGAAAAGATGAAAAGTGATTGAGAAAATTAAAATTAAAGAGTGATTGACTAGAATATTTAGTCTGAAAAATAGATGCCTAGTAACCTAACATTAATTCGGAAGGCTAGCAATTTGTTGAAGAACTTAAAAATTATTAATACCTTGAAAGTCCTGCCGATATAATTTTTATGGCAACCCATGGTCATGTCCATTGGATCAAGGTCTATTTTGGTGATGAGGTAGCAAAATTATTGGAGCTATTAAGGAGTTTTCTGTGATCTTTGTGGATGTCACCAATGAAGAGATTTATTTGCCTCAGCAGATTTTCAATACTGATGAAGCTTTTTTAAAATTGTGGTAAAAAATATATAACATTTACCATTTTAATCCATGTTTAACTTCACAGTTCAATGGCATTAAGTACACCGGCACTGCTGGGCAACTATCATCACCATCCACCTCCAGAAATTTTTCATCATCCTCAACTGAAATTCTGCACGTACTGAACACTAACTTCCTATTCTCCCTCTCCCAGCACCTGGTAACTACCACTTTCTTTTTCTGTCTCTATGAATTTGACCACTCTAGGTATTTCATATAAGTGGAATCATACACTATTTGACTTATTGAAGATGTTTGTGGCTGGGCACGGTGGCTCATGCCTGTAATCCCAGCACTTTGGGAGGCTGAGATGGGCAGATCATTTGAGGTCAGGAGTTCGAGACCAGCCTGGCCAACATGGTGAAACACCGTCTGTAGTAAAAATAGAAAAGTTAGCCGGGTGTGGTGGTGGATGTCTGTAGTCCCAGCTACTCAAGAGGCTGAGACAGGAGGATTGCTTGAGCCTGAGAGGCAGAGGTTGCAGTGAGCAGAGATCTCGCCACTGCACTCCAGCCTGGGCTACAGAGCGAGACTCTGTTTCAAAAAAAAGTAGAAGATGTTCTTTTTTACAAAAATATTTATTCAGTTTACAGATATTTGTTGAACTCCTTAGTATGTGCAAAATAATGATTTACTTGCTGAGGAAACTGTGGTGAAAACAATAGGCATGGTCCTTGCTGTTGGGGTGAGGGTCGAAACAAACATAAAGTGAATAAGATAATTTCATAGTATACTTTGAATATGTAAAATCTAAAATGCTGGCCAGGTGCAGTGGCTTATGCCTATAATCCCAGCCGAGGCCAAGGCAGGTGGATCACCTGAGGTCAGGAGTTCAAGACCAGCCTGGCCAATGTGGTGAAATCCATCTCTACTGAAAATACAAAAATTAGACAGGCATGGTGGTGGGTGCCTGTAATCCCAGCTACTTGGGAGGCTGAGTCAGGAGAATCACTTGAACCCGTAAGGTAGAGGTTGCAGTGAGCCGAGATTATGCCACTGCACTCCAGCCTGGGCAACAGAGCAAGACTGTCAAAAAAAAAAATGTCCAAGTGCAGATGTTGAGGGGACAGTGGGGTGACAGATGTACCTACCGTGGCATGACTGGAGGTAGAGAATTGGAGTCATTGTCATCGAGATGGTATCTAAGTCCACGGACCTGCGGTGGTGATGCAGACAGAGTGTAAACATAGTCAATGAGAGAGCCTAGGATGGAGCATGACAGAGCTTCACATTTGGAAACCGACCAGTGGAGAAGGAGACCAACAAAGAGACCCAGGCAGAATGGTGAGCAGAAGGTGAATGTGCTGATGTAAAAGCCAAGAGATGAGACTATTTCCAGAACGACCGAATGGCCGGCTGAGCTGAATCCTGTGTGGAACTGGGGAAGAGGCAAAACAGATAGCCATTGGCTTCTTGGAGTCTGACTTATTACATTTAGAAATTAAAAAAAAAATTTTAATAGAGATGGGGGTCTTGCTATGTTGCCCAGGCTGGTCTCGAACTCATGGGCTCAAGTCATCCTCCCACCTCAGCCTCCCTAAGTGCTGGGATTACAGGCAATCCTAACTTATTTCTAAATAAAAGACTGTCCCTAAACAATCTTTGGTCAAGCCTAAAAAAGAGTTTAAAACATTTTAGCATTTTTTTTTTTCTCTGAAGCAACTGGGGGCAGTGATTTGCATAGCAGGTCATGTTTTAGCATAGACAAAATACTATTTTATACTCTGATGGGAATTTAATACTATTTTATACTCTGATGGGAGTATTAAATCAAAATGATTTTATGTGCCAGAAGTATTATTTATCATTAATCAAATGGTGCAGGTAGACAGATGAGAGAGAAAGAATGACAAATTCTGATGATTTTAATAAAGGCACGGAGGCTGGGGGATGATAGTCGCTGGCAACACTCAAGGCTGTTAGTCACCGTCTCTTTATGACATCAGCCTGGATTATCAGAGCAGACACCACAGGGGAATGATATATGAAGACTTACATTTTCAAACCCTTTAAAAGATATTCTCCATGAAATCTCATCAAAAGCTCTGTGTGTACCCGGTAACTGCTATACAAGATTTAGGGTTTCCTTAAGATCTCCCAATTTTAGTTAACAGGATCTTCCTGGTCAATAAATTTAGGGCAAAAGTGGTTTAACAGCCTAAATAAACTGTCGAATTTCCTCTCTGAACACACAGTGTTTTCCTTCTGTCTCAATAAAACCCACAACCGTTAGAAAACATGCCCATTTCCAAGCGAAAGCAAAATGGTCACACGAGGGAAATCACCGCATGACATCTTCTCAGCTGCTTTTGCGGCCACACAACTTAACTCTCTCCAGATGTAACCCTTCATTCCTCCCACCTCCTCATAATTTTTGTCTTGAGTGAAACTATTAAAGGAGGTTTTTTTTTTTTTTTCTTATGTGAACTCAAAAGTGGGAGAGACTGAATTGCAAGTTCAGTGATAAGTACTTGATAGAGTGGGCTTTATCTCCTGACCCTGGGATGAACATATAAGGGTAATGGTATTTTGACGAAAAAAATACCTAACAGAGATGGGTCAGAAAGACCAGATTTTAAAAATCATGATAACTCATGTGGAGTCTACAGGCTGCCAGGGGATCAGCTGATCTATACTGGACTTGGGAGGAGGTGGCTCTGCTCCTTGTACCTCTAACTTTTATTCTCCTCCTAGGACAAGCAGCATAGCCCTGGCGTATCCTTCTCATGGTGACAGTAGAGGTGAAGGAGACCAGGTTTCATTGTGCATGTGCTTTTTCCAACATATTTGCTTTCCATTTGCTAATATCCCACTGGCCAGAGCATGCCATGTGGCTGAACTCAGAAGCAAGGGTCAGGGAAAGCTAGTTGGTCTTTTGATGGGAGGAACAGCAAAGCCATGTGGCCAAGGGCTTAGATAAAGGGGAAAGTGAAGGATTGGGGCTGCTAATACAACCTACCATTTAAGGGTATATCCAGTTCTCCTAAATGAGATCGTTGAAAGGCATTGCAACACACGAGGAAAAAAGTTCTAACCTTCATGCTACGTATGACTTCCCCATTGTCCACGGGTTGAAGCTCTTTGCAGGGATTTCTCTTCTTCATGGCTCCCCTGTCCTTGACTCTGTCCCTGTATAAACCTGCCTTTTTTCAGTCTCCATGCTGTAACTTTCATCTGCATTGAGGGAAACTCCCTCCTCTCTCACCAGACCTCTCCTTAGAGTCAGTCCATTCCTCTCCAAAGCTCTACATTTCCTCACACCTGAGCATTTAGGCTGGTAGAATGTTCCTTAGGATGCTTGATGGTACGTTTTGACTTCCCATGTGACATCTTTGAGGTTTTTCCATGAGCATGCATCACAAACTTTTTCTTTCTCCACATACATATTATCTCTCTCACTCTCTCTCTCTCTCTCTCTCTCACACACACACACACACACACACACCCTTCACACATATTCCTCTAAAGTCCTAAGGATAAATATTAATTCTTAAGACAGTCAGGTCTTCATAAAGAGAAAGAAGAATATTGTCTGTATTTCCCTCTCTTTCTGTCCAACCATAATGAAATGCTGTCAGTCCCAAGATGGCTTCACATCCCACAACAGGCAAAACCACACCATCACCTTTCTTTCTCTGACCCAGTATTCAAGCCAGAAACGATGATTATCTTTTCCCTCTCTCCACCCTACAGGGGAGTTAGAAGAAATCCATTCTTCTAATTCTACACACAGCATCTTGATTCAAAACAAATGTATAACGTTTCAACATCACATAACCTGAATTACATATGAACAGAGATTGCTGTTGATGCAAATTAACAGACCTCCTAGGTTAAGGACTAAATTTGAATTCTATTTGTCTGGGTTAATCCTTAATAGTTTCTAGTTTAAAGAAGACTAAAAAAACTATTAGATTAATCCCCTAAGTAAGGAGATCTTTAGACAGCAATTGTTTGGGGCCATTGCATCCCAGTTAGTTATATGAGGTTGTAGTTTCCTAAAATGAAACAGAGAAAGGCAAGATTTTTTGATTTGACAAATGAAGTTTTTTCTGCCATTTAGGCTTCTAAGAAGTAGCTTTTTGGTGTAAGGAAAATGATTTTAAATACACTGTTCTAAAATTCTGAAATCCCACGGCCTTGGGAGTCAGTTCCAACCTTAGCAGATGACCTAAAGCACCAGTTTCTCTATGGAGATATGTTGAAAATTAAATAGCATAGGTATTAGCCTGTTCTCACGCTGCTAATAAAGACATATCCGAGATTGGGTAATTTATAAAGGAAAGAGGTTTAATTGACTCACAGACATGGCTGGGGAGGCCTCACAATCATGGCAGAAGGTGAATGAGGAGCACAGTCACGTATTACACATGGTGGCAGGCAAAGAGAGCATGTGCTAGAGAACTCCCCTTTACAAAACCTTCAGATCTCATGAAACTTACTTGCTATCATGAGAACAACAGGGGAAAGACCTGCCTCCCACTGGGTCCCCCCCACGACGCATGGAAATTATGGGAGCTACAATGCAAGATCAGATTTGGGTGGGGACACAGCCAAACCATATCAGCATATATCAAAGTTTTTAGGTGTCGGAGAATGTTGAGAATGTTTAATCATGTGCATGAATCTAAATAGAATTTTGAAAATAGAGGGGGACAAAATGTCTGTGGTTCTCATTCCCAACTCTTTGTAAACTAAAGGAAGGATTCAGCTTTGTACTTTTGTATCTAGGAGCCCTTCGCAGATCTTAGCTCCTTTTATTCTCTGATTTTGGGAGAATTTAAAAGGGATCATCGAGGTCGTGGCAAACCATTTCAACCTCATTATTTTAAACGGTTCTTCCCCTGCTTTCAACATGAGTCGAGTGGGAATTCTCCATATTTGTTACCTGTGGCAGCTTGTAGGATCCTGGTCTCTGGAATTAGGCAGACCTAGATTTGAATGTCAGTTCTGCCATTTGCTATGGGGCAAACCATCAGAGGAAGCTACGTATTCTGTCTAGCCTGCGATTCATCAGCAAAACAGGGATCAATTCCATATTGGCAAAAATTCTTTCCTTGGACAAACTTTTGTCAGGCTCCTCTGAGCCCTCTCCTCGACCAGAGCCAAACCTGGGCTTTCATCTTTGTCCTTGTAGTATCCCATTTTAGCAAGAATCCTAAGTTCATTTGGAAAGAGCTCCCATCGTTTACATCTGACCAAATTCCTCCCCCGTCACCATGCCCCAGGTGATGTCTGATTACCTTTGACTGCCTCAGCCTTAGCAGGAATCACCCCTGACCCTGAGGTTTCCTCTTTGTGATTTTCCATCCACCAACCCCCACCCTACTCTTTGTCTATAATCCCCACTTTTCCTTGCTGTATTCAAAGTTGAGCCCAATCTTTTTACCTATTACAAAACCCCATTGCCATGGCCCCTACACCTACGGTGATGGTCCTGAATAAAATCTGCCTTACCATCTTAATAAGTGTCAGAATAAATTTTTCTTGGGCAGTATCTGTCTTGTATGGTTGTGTTAAGGATTAAATGGAAGATGCACATAAACTACTTAGTGGAGGGCTTCATACAGAGTGGATGCCTAATGCATTTTCATTCTTCCGCTTCTTTTTGTTTTTTTTTGTTTTTTTTTTTTTTTGAGACGGAGTCTTGCTCTGTCACCCAGGCTGGAGTGCAGTGGCGCAATCTCGACTCACTGCAAGCTCGCCTCCCGGGTTCAGGCCATTCTCCTGTCTCAGCCTCCCGAGTAGCTGAGACTACAGGCGCCCGCCACCACGCCCGGCTAATATTTTGTATTTTTAGTAGAGATGGGGTTTCACCTTGTTAGCCAGGATGGTTTTGATTTCCTGACCTTGTGATCCACTCGCCTCAGCCTCCCAAAGTGCTGGGATTACAGGTGTGAGCCACCGTGCCTGGCCGCATTTTCATTCTTATTGCTATTAATGTTGCTTTTATGATGCCATCCTCAACTCCTTCCTACTTTACTTCCTCTTCCTCAGAACAGTCCGTTAGAGACCTGGGTCAGTGTTTCCCCCAGACATTCTCCTCTTCAGGTTAATCAACCCCAGGTGACTCAGCTATTCCCTGCATGGTGTGGTTGAGGCATCTCCTATTTTTGTTGTTTTTCTCTCAATGATGAAATGCAGCCAGTATCACTGATGCCTGGGGCTCACGGGCCCAGAGAAACTCCTTGACCTGAGTGTGGGGTGAGAGGCCACTGGCCAAAGGGAAATATTCAGTGCCCTCCACCTGGAGCTGGAGCCACTCCTTACATATAAATCAATGGAAATTCCCCAATCAATACTGGGAAAGAAGGCAGTGGGAAGAGCAGATAGGTGGGGTGGAAGCAAGAGAAAAGGGTAGCTTAGGGGACCTGCAAGCCAATTGCCCAACCTGTGAGACCATGGCGATGTCTGTGGGCAGGCACAGTTCACTCTCACCAGTGGCACCAAGGGCCCTGCCTATTTATGCTTGGTAAATTCACTTCTACCACAAGTGTGTGGCCCAGTGCCACATACAAATATATGCCCAGAGAATGTTCATTATCTTTATTTTCTTTATTCTGTCACCCACTGTGGCAACTGTTTTTTCCACCACTGGGTCACTGGAGATTTAAACAATGTCTTCTCTGTGTTAATAGTGGGCTAGGGACCAAGCCCTACAGCCCAAATACAGGGACTTCCTCTCTGCTTCCCACTAACTCAGTGACCAGCACCCTTTGGGTTATAACCAGCGAGGAATCTACTCACATATATCATAAAACTCATATTTATGCCTATTGCCCGTGAGAATAAAATGATTATTTCAAGGGACAAGAGAAATGGAGAAAGAGAATATGGCTGCTGGTAGTAAGAAATTGCAAAGCAAGACAAAGCAGATGAGTAAATTATATGAAAAATGCAACCGCCTTAATCTTGTAATATGTGCATACAGGTAGTAAGTGAAGGGAAAACATAAACATGTATAAATCTATTATGCACTCAGCAAACACAAGCATATTACCTGGGTGAGTAGAAATCAATAGACTGATGTAAAGATATCCTCTTTAAAATCTTCATCCTATCCTTAATTCACATACTTAGGAATTTTATTTTTATTGTTAGAAACAGGGTCTTGCTCTGTTGCCCAGGCTGGAGTGCGGTGGTGCAATCATAGCTCACTGCAGCCTTGAACTCCTGGGCTCAGGTGATCCTCCCAGCTCAGTCTCCCAAAGTTCTGGGATTATAGGCAGGAATCGCCATGTCCGACCTAGAATATACACTTTTAGGGGGATGTTATGAGTTGAATTGTGTCCCCTCCAAAAGATATGTTGAAGTCCTACCCTCTGGTATCTCAGAATGGGACCTCATTTGGAAAGAGGGTCTTTACAGAAGTAATCAAGTTGAAATGAGAAAATTTAGGGCTGACCATAATTTAATATGATTTATATGTCCTTATAAAACGGGGAAACATGGATCCAGGTCCTCACAGAGGGAAGATGACGTGAGGACACATGGGAACACGGTGTGATGAGGGAGTATCCATGTACTGCGTTTACAAGCCAAGGAACACCTGAGACTCCCAGAAGCTGGGAGAGATGCCTGGAAACAGATGCTTCCCTAGTGCCTTCAGAGAGAACACAGCTCCCCCAGTACCTTGATTTTGGGCTTCTGGTGTCCAGAACTGTGAGACAATACATTTCTGTTGTTTCAAGCCATCCAGTTTGTGGAACTTGGAGCCCTAGAAAACTAATACGGAAGAAAACTATGGAGTTTTGAAAAATTAAAAACCCTTATGGAAATAAAAATTATAGTTATACATGTACCTTTCAATCAATGAAGTGAATGAAAGTGGAAATACAAAACTTTAAATCCAGGAAAGTCCACTGTTACTGCTTAAAAATCAATCCCACCCAAAGATTGGCTAGCAGAACAATTTACTAATGACTTAGTTGTTTCTACAATGCAATCCACAATCAAAGCAAGCCACAGCACAGAAATATGAGGAGCCATTTCTACTGTGTCATATCATGGCACCAATAGAAGTTAAATCCGGTCGGGCACAGTGGCTCACACCTGTAATCCCAGCACTTTGGGAGGTCGAGGTGTGTGGATCACCTGAGGTCAGGAGTTCGAGACCAGCCTAGCTAACATGGTGAAACCCCGTCTCTTCTAAAAATAAAATAATTAGCCGGGTATGTTTGTGCATGCCTGTAATCCCAGCTACTAAGGGGGCTGAGGAAGGAGAATTGCTTGAATCCACGAGGCGGAGGTTGCAGTGAGCCGAGATCATGCAAGCCACTACATTCCAGCCTGGGTGACGGAGCAAGACTCCGTCTCAAAAAAAAAAAAAAAAGTTAAATCCAAGACTTTTTATTGTCAGGAGGTCCTGGTGTCAGGCTACATTTCTTTATGGATTTTGGCCCGTAATCACAAATAATGGATAACTTGCTCGTAAGTAATTCCAAAGGTAGATGATATTTGGGGGGTCGGGAGAATTTAAAATGGCAAGCAGAGTTATACCTAATACACGCTGGCCATCCTGAATGTGCCATTGACTTATGTGTCACCGGGGCATTTATCGTCTTACTTGGCTCCCAAAATGAGCCTAAAGTTTCAATGCTTTAAATTTCTCATGCTAAAGAAATCAACATTTTAATGTAATCAGAGTTCTGGAGTAGAAAGTCTGCTATATTTGGGAAAAAGAACATTAGACCCTAGGGAGGTACTGTTTTAGCATTTATGGACATCAACCAAAGGTTTTCATGCTCTAGATCTTTCTGTGGGCACCAGAATGAATGCTCTTTCCTCTACAGGTAACCTGTGAGGATGATGCAACTTTTTCAGAGGAAGTGTGCAATCCACAAGAGAATTCTACCTTGTTAGAATTCTGCAAGGTCCATTTCACCCAGTCTAGGAACCCAAATCTCAACTCAACATTTAGGAAGTATTGCCACAGTTAAGCGTCTACATATAAAATGACGGGAAGTGGCAAAGAAATCAACAGAATTCGTTGAGAAGACTGAGCTCCCACCTCATTTGTCCAGCTGCAGAGCATTTGACTATGATGAAAGACCTCATAGGAGTTCCTCTTCTTTTTTGCGATGAATATGTACAGGCTTTAATCAGTGGGACTGGCCAAGATGGAGCCTTTTTGTGTATGTCTCAGGCAGATCTTGCCCCACACAGGCTGATTTATACTGGATTGAGTGCTTTGCTCTTCCGCATCAGGCCAGGCGTGGTGGCTCACGCCTGTAATCCCAGCACTTTGGGAAGCTAAGGTGGGTGGATCACTTGAGGCCAGGGGTTTGAGACCAGCCTGGCCAACATGGCGAAACCCTGTCTCTGCTAAAAATACAAAAAATTAGCTGGGCATGGTAGCATGTGCCTGTAGTCCCAGCTACTCTGGAGCTGAGACATGAGAATTGCTTGAACCTGGGAGGTGGAGGTTGCAGTGAACTGAGAGTGGAGTGATCCTAGCTCACTGCAACCTCAAACTCACGGGCTCAAGCAATCCTCCTACCTGAGCCTCCTGAGTAGCTGGGACTACAGGTATGCACCACCACACTAGGCTAATTTTAAATGTTTTTTTTCTGGTAGAGATGGGGGCTCACCATTTTGCCCAGGCTGCTCTCAAACTCATGGCCTCGAGCATTCCTCCCACCTCAGTCTCCCAAAGTGTTGGGAGTACAGGATTACAGCCACTGTGCCTGGCCAGGTGTAGGTTTTGAAGTGCGAGTGGTATATAATACAAAGTGAAGGATTCATCCTACTGCTTGCTGTGGGGCACAGGGTAAACACCCAGATAAGTTGTTCTCACTGGGATTCATGAATGCCAGAGAAGTGGCAAGTATTTAAATATCTTATGGGTTATGAGCAATAAATTGGTTTATATTGAGTGGCTGATAAATACTAGAACTCAAAATTAAATGTGTACATTAAATTTACTAAATTCTAATAAAATATAAATTAATATAAGGTAACATTTGAAAACAATTACCAAACTATTTAAACCATGCTGAAATAATTAGAAGGAAATGGTACACTTAGGTTAATGCAAACTAACTTAGTCCTTTTAAGAGCAACATGTTATCGAGAGCTACAAAACTCTTCATATACTTTGACCAAGCAATCTCATTCTTGAGAAATTCATTCATTGGAATAAACAAAAAAGAAACCCTAAGTATGTAAGAACGAAAGTATTCAATTTAATGCCATTCTTCTTCTTTTTTTTTTTGAGGCCGTCTCACACTGTCACCCAGGCTGGGGTGCAGTGGGGCTCACTGCAACCTCAAACTCTTGGGCTCAAGCTATCCTCCCACCTCAGCCTCCTGAGTAGCTGGAATTATAGGCATGCACCACCACGCCCTGCTAATGTTTTGTATTTTTTGTAGAGACTGGGTTTCGGCATGTTCCCCAGGCTGGTCTCAAACTCCTGGACTCAAGCAATCTGCCCGCCTCGGCCTCCCACAGCAGTGGGATTAAGGCCAGAGCCACTGTGCTGGACTTGTAATGCTGTTCTTAATATAAGAAGCTGTGAACAGCTATTCCCAATAAGAGGGGGATGGTTAAATGAACCATGGTTCACTAACTGAACAGAACATTTACTATTACAATCGCATTGTATGAACATTGTAAATAGGAGGATGCACACACATTTGTCTGTAGCTGGTGCTTAGTAATGAAAGGGAATGACAAAAGCACATGTTCATATGACTATGACTATGCGTGTATATATACTCATGCATTCATTCTAGCAATTGTTTTGATCACTGATTATATAACAGGTGTTGGCCAGGTATACGAAACATACTGAGGAAATGATGTGGTTTCTGCTCTCATTGAGGGGTCACTCAGCCGGAAGGTGGCCGTGGGAAGAAATGGAAAAGTACGGAAATTCACAAAACGCGAATGGAGTACAGTTAGGCAAAGATGAAGGGAAGGCTTTGTAAAGGAGCTAACATGTATCTACAGTGGAGAAATCACTTGTATAAGAGTGGAGGTACTAGAAGGTACTTAAAAATTCTTAATGTCTTTATTGAGATGTAATTCTCATACCTTAAACATGTTCATTTAAAATATACACTTTAATAATTTTTACTATACTCACGGAGTTGTGTTGTTTTGTTTTGTTTTGTTTTTTTGAGACGGAGTCTCACTCTGTTGCCCAGGCTGGAGTGCAGTGGTATGATCTCGGCTCATTGCAACCTCCACCTCCTGGGTTCTAGCAATTCTCCTGCCTCAGCCTCCTGAGTAGCTGGGATTACAGATGTGCACTACCATGCTCGGCTAATTTTTGTATTTTTAGTAGAGAGGGGTTTCACCATGGTCAGGCTGGTCTCGAACTCCTGACCTCATGATTCGCTGCCTCGGCCTCCCAAAGTGCTGGGAATACAGGTGTGAGCCACCGTGCCCGGCCACTCACGGAGTTTAATACAAACATCACTGAAATCTAAGTAGAACATTTTCATCCTCCCAGGGAGCTTTGCATTTTTGCTCTATTAAATTTCTCCCGATGTTAAATGTTTTTCTAATAAGGAATTAAGATGTAGAGACAGAAACCTCTGATGTCTGGCCACAATAGGGAAAGTTATGTCTCATGTGAAATAAACCGAAAGTATGCCATCAAGTCTTTCAGTTTTAATTTTATTAGTGACAAGGTAAATAGGTACATGAAAATCTTCACAGATATCTACGCACGTATTTAAATAAAACAAGAGTCGAGTTCTAAGAATGCAGTTTCAGGGGTGACTAGTACATATTATTTTTTTATTTACTGTATAAAAATCTCCAAGTTTATAAAACTTAATTTGCCCCATTATTGTGTCTTAAAACCCAGCTGCAAGAATTTAAAAAGGGAATTCTTTGAAGAGAAATACAGATAGACCCTCAGAGGAGCACAGCACATTATGAATTATGAAGGCAATCGGCAATGCTCTAACTAGAAGCAGATAACGCTCAGTGTGTTCTCTGTCGTCAGTATGTTCTCTGGGCAGAACGGATTGCTGGAAGGTTTGCCTGACCTCAGTTTCCTCCCTTTCTCCATTTGCTTCCATATTCTTTTTTTATTTTTTATTTTATTTATTTTTTTGTTGAGACAGAGTTTCCCTCTGTCGCCCAGGCTGGAGTGCAGTCGCGCGATCTCAGCTCACTGCAACCTCCGCCTCCTGGGTTCAAGCGATTCTCTCTCTGCCTCAGCCTCCTAGGTAGCTGGGATTACAGGAGACTGCCACCACGCCCAGCTAATTTTTGTATTTTTAGTAGAGATGGGGTTTTGCCACGTTGGCCAGGCTGGTCTTGAACTCCTGAACTCAGGTGATCTGCCCGTCTCGGCCTCCCAAAGTGTTGGGATTACAAGTGTGAGTCACTGCACCCAGACTTTGCTTCCATATTCTAAAGGGCAGAGGGCCACTGCGTGCATGCGCGTGTGTACAACGGCCTTCTGCAATTCCCATAGGTAGCAGTGCCTGTGGGCAGGTGGAAGGTGCCCGTCCCTCTAGGAAAGGGCCATCTTGGCTGAGACTCTGGGATGGTGCAGTTCACTTTGGAGCCCTCATGCCTTGCTTCATTCTGGGTCTCAGTCTTCCTCCTGGCATCTCTAGTTCCTTCCAGGTATCTGCATAAACTATCTCAACAGGGGTCTTTTTTTATGTAACCCTAAGAGTTCTCAGTTCCTTCACCAATGTTGGCTTAAAGACAAGGGGTGCATTTTTTCAGGGACCTTTTAGGACCCCAAATCCCAAGGAGCTAATCTCTATTGGTCACAGATCAGCCAGGATCACCAGATTCAGGGCATTACCTGGGGTCAGAGAGAGCTGTCTGGCATCGCTCACATCACATCCTGTAGATGGCCACCTACTTGTAAAACCAGCTCTACCTGGAAGACTAACACCAAAGACCCCCAGAGGCTGGTGTGGACACCCCTTAATTCTTTGAGGCAACTTCAGTGCTCATCCGTAGTCAGCCACACAAACCAGCCTTGAGCTCCTGACCGACCCGAAACTGCTACCAGGACAGTATTCAATTCACAGGCAGGAAGAACATGAACTGCACCAGCGTGCTCGTCCATGTGCCTTTCATTTGCTCCTCAATGAAGTTCCGCAGCTGTAGCCAAATGGCTCCTCTCCAGCTTATGGCATGACATAAAATTTAGTGTCTGTGAGCTTGGCTCATCTTTCAAACAAAGCGTGATTGTTGAAATCAGGACACAAAGTTTTCCAACAGCTTTGTAAACTTAAGGATTTGGGTCAGCTTGTTCTATCATACTTAACATTTAGGAAATTAATTAAAAAAAAAAACGCCAGTGTAAACATGCTTCAGATACATAGGTCTATAAAATATTGCACATAAAAATTTGTTCAGTATTTCTTCATAGTAATTTTTCATTATTAAAAAAGGATACAAAATTGTGCAGACTACCTATAAATTTGGCTGGTCAATTTTACTTCAAAAATGATAATATTACAAGATTATGAATTATTTACAAGAGTTTTAAACATAAAAAATTTGTGATGGTTAAATTCAAGATGATGGGAAAATAGCTTAAATAAAAGATTATTCTCCAAAGTTACATATTATAAAGATTAGCAGTAAAAATAAGTAATAAAGTTGGAATAAGCAATTTTAAATAAAAATCTTTAGGAATCAGTTTTCCCAGTTTGGCTCATGCCTGTATAATTTTATGTTTTTGTCTAAGTTATATTCAACATGTTTTCTCTGTGTATACAAGTACAAGGCATAGCAGGAAAAACGGGTATTTAATCCCAAGCTAAATATCTATAAGAAGTGTTGCTTCTTATAGATATTAAAAATAATGTTTACCCATAATGTTAAATTGCTTTTTAATTAATGAACTCTAGACATTTTACCATGACTTTTAAACACTCCAAAGGTAGAGAGTACCTCGAAATTCATGTATTAACTAAGTCAATGGAAAGATATACAAGGAAATATAAATGCAACATCTTGCAAAGCTAAATTAAGCAGATGTGAGTCCCTGGATAATGTGAGTGAAAGGAATTTCAGATGGAAGGCAGCAAGGTATTAAATAGAACTGATTCCTAATGCCAATCTTCCTTTCCTTAGCACTGTCTAAATTCTGAAGAAGCTCTGCTAAATGAGTTATCTGCACACAGTGGTTCTTAGGAGGAAACTGAGTGAGTGATTTTGAAAACTAGCTAACCAAATCTTAATTTCCAAATTCTCTAGATGACAGATTCTCAACCTAGAGACATGGAAAATAAATAAATAAACTCTCACCCTCACTCACAAGATTATTTTTGTCCTTTCAAAAGTACTTTCACAGTACCAACAACATATTGCTTGTCTCCCTGAGCCATAATGTCCTTAGAAATGTTTCTTTTCCATAGGGAGGTGTCAAATGTTCCATTGGATACAGTAGTGTTGGATGGTGTGGTCTTAGTTCTAAGTTCTATAGTAAATCAGTCATTTCACCTTAGTTCACCTTGTAAATTCTATAGTGATTCAGACATTTCATCTCTGCAACTTATGCTGGATTGATCTGGACTGCAACTTACGTTCCCATACGCATTTCAAAGTGTCTGCCAAGTACAGAACGATTAAAGCAAAAGAAAATCTTCCACAATTGCTGATGGCTTCTCCAGCTTTGGTGTTTCCTTTTCCAACAGGGCTCACTGGGCACCCAGGACAATTTCTCCAAAGTGCGGTGTAGATGAGGTGATGTTTCCAGGGTCCCCTCCATTTCCTGGGTCACTGTCAGGTATCAGAAAGCTTTGATTTTTAACCCTCATGTTCTTTCTTTTTCTTTGAACAGGACCAGTGTTTGAGGTCTTTGGTCTTCTTTTTTTTTCTTGTCATGCCTCAGGGGTCTTGTCATTTGTCAGCTGTTCCCTGTCGGTCATGTCCTCCTGAGGAGGTCTGGCTCTGTCAAAGAATCCACACTATAAAGGGAAAGATGGGCTATAAAATCACGTCATTCTGGGAACCTGTGAAACCCCTCATTCAAAGAATTTTCACTTTATGTATTTTTTTTTTTTTAAACTGAGTCTCGCTCTCTATTCCCCAGGCTGGAGTACAGTGGCGTGATCTTGGCTCACTGCAACCTCCGCCTCCCGGTTCAAGCGATTCTCCTGCCTCAGCCTCCGGAGTAGCTGGGATTACAGGCCTGCACCACCACACCCAGCTAATTTTTGTATTTGTAGGAGAGATGGGGTTTTGCCATGTTGGCCAGGCTGGTGTTGAACTCCTGACCACAAGTGATCCACCTGTCTCAGCTTCCCAAAGTGCTGGGATTACAGGCGTGAGCCACCACACCTGGCCCTTTATGTATTTTCGAAGGAGCCTGGAGCTCTGCACGTATAATCAGTCTGTTTCTCCAAATTAGGAGGTTCGAGCAGAGTGTTTGTTACTTGTAGAGAGGAGTTTATTGCATAGGCAAGGTGAGCAGGAGGGCAGAGTGCTCACACCCTTTCTCCTGTCCTGTAGTTGGAGTGGAAGATGTCCCTCTTTCATACAAACCACTTATGGACCTTGGATATTTTCCTGAGATCACAGCAATGTGTCCCAAGGATTTCCCACATGCTTACTGGAGCAGAAGCACTAACTATTGACTAGGAAAAGGAGATTGTCTCCTAAAGTATCCTGTCAGCTGCTTTGGGGTGGATTATAGAAAGAAGTGAAGAGATGGCCACACATCCCTCGGTGCTTGGTGGAACATAGAGCATATATAGAGGGAGAATAGATTTGTCACTTATTTCAATGCCAGAACCAGGTAGGCACAGAATCTTAGTGACTTTCCAAAGGTTAGCCAGAAACTCAGGGAAGAGGTGACTCTAGGATTTTCCTCCTCTTCAGTGTCAAATTAGTACTTTGCCAAGTAAACTACATATTTTCCTAGACACCTGGAACCTCAATTCTTTCTTCTGTTTCTCATGTTGGAAGCCAATTAACTGGGTTTGGCTTAGAGACATTGAGTCATCTCTCTTTCTCAGAGCTACTGGAATATCCTGTCAATTGGCACACATGGTTGTATCTTATACTCATTGGAAATACAGTTACTATGAGTGACAGAACAACACAAAAGTCCATTCTAAAGGCATGTCATAGACCACATGGGTGTAGGATGTCACAAAGAGCTGATAACGATCAGAAACGCCATTCCTTAACTCAAAGCCAAGGTTTTCTCAGTTTATAGGTCTATTAGTCATGCTGCATATTGTTTCAAAATAAAAGCGCACTATGATTTTAGGGAAAACCACATAGTTATCAAAGATGTGACTGGGTTAATTACTCTTATGTAACTGGGACGTCATTTCCATTTGGGAATGGAAGGCTCTGTGAAACTTGGCAATTGTTTAGGTTGGTGGGCCAGAAATTAATTCCTGTTGTGGACTTTTAGAACAAACCTCAGTAAAACACATCAAAGACTAAGTTCAGGCTTCCCAGTGGAGACAAACTAATTGGCAAGATTAAAAACCAAGTCCAGGCATCCTATCACATGCATAATCTATTTGGCCTCATTAGTAGTTGAAATTAAAAATCAGAATTGACCTATATTAATTGCATTTGCATAGTGCTTATAAAAAATGTCAAAGGATTGATGATAGGGCCATGTCAATAAAAAGCTTATGATCTTGGTTAATTAAACAAGAAAAAGAAGTCTTCATTAGAATATTATCACTCTAAGCATATTGGAAAGAAGATCACAGGCCTTAGTTAATACAGCCTAACTCTCTCTACATTTATTTACAAGAAATCTCAAGATGAAAGCAACATTAAGCACCTCTAGTCATCTTAAATGTCAGCTATATAAACATATTAAGTATGCCAAAGCAAACAAGACACGATTTTCCCTTTATATCCTTCAGACTGTTCAAAATTTCCAAAAATGCCTCCATAATTGTCTTTTAAAATCCCTAACTGTATCCCTCTAAATTCCCTCAACAGCCCCTCTAGTTTAAAAGGAAAACAAAGTAAATCAACTTACCTTCCATAAAGCTAAGGTTAAAATGGCGAGAACCAACAATCCAAGAAGTATTGCTAGTATTATTACCCATAATGGGATTGAGAAGGAAACATTCGGAGTTGCCCAAATAACTGATGTCTTAATCTGAAATGGAAAACAAAGCAAATGAGCTCTAATGCGAAAACTATTTGGTGAAATAAAATAGTAATTACCAGTACAACATCGGAAGTTGATCTGAAAGGATCCATATGACAATTGAAATCATCTAGGGGATATTTGAGAGGTAGCACTCGAACATGAACTCTTAAAAGCTAGCATGTTCCTAGATCTGCTTGGTTCTGTAAAAGTCTAATTAGAGATTTGGTGGGTGGGTGGCTTTGCATCACAGAAACCCTAGAATAGAATTGAGTGCATCAGGAATTGACAAGGTGGAAAGGAATGGCCTTCACTTGGGCTGGAACTTTTATGGGAACAATGGCCAAAAGTAGACTCAATAAAAAACTGAATGAATCTGTCTACCATGTGTCTCCTTAGAACTCAGCTAGCCTCATTGAGAGAGGTAAGCTTGTGAACAACCATGAATCCTTGGATGTGCAAGAAGGGTAGAAATCTCTAATCTAATCCCCTCATTTTACAGGTGAGAAAATTAACTCCCAGAGGGACTAAGTGATTCATTCACACAACGAATTAGTGTCAATACTAGGTCTCTTTATCCCTAGATTCTGTGCTGTATCAGTGAAGGATATCCCAGAGCATGAGGCTAGGCATCTTGTATTTTATGGAAGTAACTGTAGTGTGCAAAGTGAATGTTCAATTTTTTTTGATGCGTTGGAGATGACTTTAATCCTAAATCCAAAGATCAGGCCAGAGCGGTGGCTCATGCCTGTAATCCTAGCACTTTGGGAGGCCAAGGTGGGTGGATTGCCTGAGCTCAGGAGGTCGAGACCAGACTTGGCAACATGGTGAAACCCCATCTCCACTAAAGATACAAAAAATTAGCTGGGTGTGGTGGCGCACACCTGTAATCCCAGCTACTCAGGAGGCTGACACACGAAAATTGCTTGAACCTGGGAGGTGGAGGTTGTAGTGAGCCAAGATCATGCCACTGCACTCCAGCCTAGGCAACAGGGTGACACTCTTCTTTCTCCTTCCCGCCAAAAAACAAAAACACAAAAACAAAGATCATATGGGGACTGGAGCCCATTTCATCCCGCACTGTTGCAAGGGGGCTTAGAGGAAAATGAGACCTTCCCAATCTGACTGCATGCTCAGTGTCTATGAACCACTCCCTATGTGGGCAGAAGCACTTCTATTGCTCCTGTGTTGGAGGCCTGTGCCTCCGGAGGCCGAGGCAGCAAAGAAGCTGCAGATTCCCAAGGAGAGACCCAGCCATGCTGCTAAAACCTTTTGTCAAAGAAAAGAGCGCTACATTATTCTTGGATGCAGACATTATTCACTAACGTAGTATTCCGGTTTTATCAGAGTGGCAAGCATTGCCTCCACTCAGCTGGTCTAAGGTCTCCTAGTTTTAATTGTGTTGGTTGAAAGGATCATTTCAATCCTGAAACACACTCAAGAACTCCAGGACACATTCTATAACCCACCCGTCAGGAGAGGCTGAGACTAATGACTAAGGTTGGCGGCTCTGAGATTTGCCCTAGCAGGAAATGTATTGGTGTTTTCACAGCCTGAACCCTAGCACTGAGCCCTAACCATGCTCACTTTGTTGCCTCTGTCTTCTTTTGTGTATTTGTTTCTTTGTTTTTGTGAGACAGTGTCTCACTCTGTTGCCCAGGCTAGAGTGCAATGGCACGATCTTGGCTCACTGCAACTTCCACCTCCCAGGTTCAAGCAATTCTTGTGCCTTAGCCTCCCCAGTAGCTGGGGTTATAGGCATGTGCCACCACACCCAGCTATTTTTTTTTTTGTATTTTTAGTATAGACCTGGTTTCACCATTCTGGCCAGGCTGGTCTAGAACTCCTGACCTCAAGTGATCCACCCGCCTCGGCCTCCCAAAATGCTGGGATTACAGGTGTGAGCCACTGTGCCCAGATGCTTCTGTCTTCTTAACTAGAGTTGAGCGCCCTGATGGTGCCCTTCTCAGCTTGTCTTGGTTTTTTATTGCTCCTTCCTTCTTGATCCGCATCCCCCATGCAGCAGATGCTGATGACTCAATTCATTCGATTCTCCAGCCCCAAATGTCATTTATATGTACACTAATAAAGGCATGGACAGAGGAGTGAGATAGGGAGAGAGTCATTCCACCTTAACAGGAACATGCCAAGGATGTGATAGATGTTCTTCATGAGAAAAAGGCTGGCCTCAACCTAGTCATCATTACATTTTCTTCCTATGCCTGTTAACTTTCCTCGCTAGGAATTATTTCATCTTATCTTTATTTCATCTGACACATCAGTGTGAAGCATGACAGTCCATCACCACGGTGACATTACGTACACTCTGCGCACCACTGTTTAAGGATGAGAAACGTAGTTCATACGTCGAAGAAATCAATTTCAAGGACCCACCGTGGTTGCAATTCTACCTGGATGCTGCAGCCTAAGTAATTTATTCTGAAATGATCTAAGACAAATATTACACATTCTCATTCATAAGTGGGAGCTAAACAAGTGGATCTCATGGAGGTAGAGGGTAGAATGATGGTTACCAGAAGCTGGCAAAGAGTGGGGAGGGCTGGATGAACAGAAGTTGGCTGACAAACATAGTCAGGTAGAAGGGATACATTCTAGTGTTCAGTAACACAGTAGGGTGATTCTAATTAACAATAATTTATTATCTATTTCAAAATAGCCAGAAGAGATTTGAAATGTTCCCAACACAAAGCAACGATAAATGTTTGAGACAATAGATATCCTAAATGCCCTGATTTGATCACTATACGTTATGTGCACGTGTGTATCAAAATATCACATGTACTCCACAAATTTGTACAATTATATATCAATAGAAAATAATTATTTGCATGTATACAGCTACATGAGCAAATCAAGAACTAGATTATTTCTCTTGTTATGTACCCTTCCTTAGTCAATTACACCTGATGACATGTATGAAATTACTGCTGAATCCTAACATTTGACTGCACTCAGAGGAACAGCATGAAGTGGTATTTCAAGATGAACATAATATTGCTGGAAGTGGACTCACACAGTTTTGATAATGAGAATTTCAGAATTTTGGAACTGAAGGGGACAGTAGTGATCATCTACTCACAGGCCAGTTACAATGACCCCAGGAGAGAAATCTGGAGCCATGGAAAATTCCGAGGTTTCATGTAAATATTACTTCCTCATAACCCCCAAGTCCATTGAGGACACAATATAGTTTTAGTCCCTACTTTGAGCATGTGTCAGAGCTCACCAAAATTTTCTAATAGGTAATTCAGGGTGAGCCAGGCAATGGATCTTTCCTCTCCTGGTTTACCTAATTAATATCTTAAGGCTGGGCACAGTGGCTCATGCCTGTAATCCCAGCACTTTGGGAGGCCAAGGCAGGTGGATCACCTGAGGTGAGGAGTTTGAGACCAGCCTGGCCAACATGGTGAAACTCTGTCTCTACTAAAAATATAAAAATTAGCTAGGCATGGTGGCAGACACCTGTAGTCTCAGCCACTTGGGAGGCTGAGGCAGGAGAATCACCTGAACCCGGGAGGGAGAGGTTGCATTGCAGTGAGCCAAGATGGTGCCACTGCACTCCGTCTGGTTGACAGAGCCAGGCTCAGTCTCAAAAAAAAAAAAAATTATTATCTTAAGTTCCTGCCTACTATTTTATGTTAAACAGAAAAGAGTTCAAGTTTTATAAGTTAGAGAAAACACAAAACATGCTAAAGGAGTTGAAATAGAGGCTCTTCAAATTGTTAGCTTAATAAAAAGAAATGGAATGGGCTGAGTGGATACCTACTGAGTACTTTGCTAGGTGACTTTGCCCCTTGGTTATTGCAGGTTTTGATGTATCATCTATATAACTGGGCTATCCAGAGAAATAAGCAGAGAAGATCACTTACAAAGAGCTAACAAAGACATTTAAAGTTTTTTTTGTAGCAGTGATGAAAAAGTATAATGAAAATGTGAAATTGATGAGGATATGATTCTTAGGGTCTTTTGAAGCAGAGAACAACTTTATAGGGATAGTTACAGAACGTACTGGCTTTCTGTTTACATTTGCTCCCAAAGAGCCTGACAGCAGCGTCTTTAAAAAGTCTGTGGGAAGATGACCCCCTGCAGTGATCACAAATTCGGAAAGTCCCTTTCAGTTCCCAAATTCTGAAATTCTCATCATCAAAACTGTTGCCAGTCTGCTTCCAGTAACATTAAGTTTGTTTAAAAAATACCACTTTGGGCCAGGTGTGGTGGCTTACGCCTGTAATCCCAGCACTTTGGGAGGCTGAGACAGATGGATCACTTGAGGTCAGGAGTTCGAGACCAGCCTGGCCAACATGGTGAAACCCCATCTCTACTAAAAATACCAAAAAAAAAAAAAAAAAAAATTAGACAGTTGTGGTGGTGGTGGTGCATACCTGTAGTCTCGGCTGCTCAGGAGGCTGAGGCAGGAGAATCACCTGAACCTGGGAGGCAGAGGTTGCAGTGAGCCAAGATCGCACCACTGCACTCCAGCCTGAGCAACAGAGCGAGCCTCTGTCTCAAACAAAACAAAACAAAAAAACAAAAAACACTTCATACCTTTTCTCTGATGTCAGGATTATGCATATGATATGCATTTCCTCCATGTCATCCTGTGCAATTCATTAGCGGGAAAGAATACACAGAGTCTTAAAAGAAGGCAACCTCTGAGTGACTCTCCTCCCATGCCTGCTTTCTGCTTTCCTGGTCCTTTTACCTGTAGGACATCCATATGGTACTGAGGCGGCCCAATCTTCTCAATCTAAAATTGGTGCAGCTGCAGAGACCTTCCTTCACCCTTGTTGTTTTCCTAAACTTATGTAGGCTTTTGCAGCATAGTCTAGAAGTCACTACAGTAAGAACAGTGGAAATACAGAAAACCAACAACAGCGACCCAGAGCATTTCATCTGGTGTCCCGTGCAGAGGAGATGCTTGACTCTTACTGGAAAGAGTTAGACAAGGAGCCAAAGGTAATTATTCAAATAACTGAATAATTTTTTTCTGCTGCACTGTAATGATTCAGTGTTCAGACATATTTCTCTGAATCAGGCGACCTTGTCCTTGCCTCTGCACACAACATCATTAGAAGAGTCACGTATATGTCTCGGCAAGAGAGGTCTTTCTGGGATAGAGTGATGGGGAGTCATGTGACATATTCATGTCTCTAAATCAGTAAATGGCAATGGGGCATTCCATGTGCAGGTGGAAACCAGTAAAGCAAAGCTTTTCCTGAAACTCCACGCTCTGTATAGATAAACTAGAGACTTGACTGCATAGGCAAGCTTAAGAGAAGACGACTTAACTGATCACTTTTACAGGACCAAAGTTTCTTTAAATATGTGTTAGTGCTGTGGGACTGCAGGCTAGTTTTGGGGAAAGCTTGGGCAGGAAAGAAAATATTGACAAACACCAAAACTTTGTTATTTCTAATATCTATATTTGTCTTACAGCTCATTTTGACAAACCTACAGGAAGCTTAGATAGAAGTAGCCATTAGATAATAAATAATGAGGAAAAATAAGTCATAAATGTTAGAGTTTCTCATGACTAAACACTGACATATATGAAGAATCTTTCATTCATTTCAAATAATATTTATTTATTTATGTATTTTTGGAGACAGGGTCTTGCTCTGTTGCCTCAGCTGGAGTGCAGTAGCATGATCATAGCTCACTGCAGCCTCCAACTTCTGGGCTCAAGCAATCCTCCTGCTTCAGCCTCTTGAGTAGCTGGGACTACAGGGGTGTACCACCATGCCTGGTGGTTTGATTTGATTTGAAATATCATTTCAAATAATATTTATTAAACACCCTATGTTCTCTGAAGTTCTGTAGGTATTATCAGCTTCAAGACATAACCTTGCCCTTGATCAGCACTGCCCAATAGAAATACAATGCAAGCCACAAGCATAACATAAAATGTTCTAATAGTCACGTTAAAAGGAATAAAGGGCCAGGCACGGTGGCTCACATCTGTAATCCCAGCACTTTGGGAGACCTAGGTGAGCGGATCACCTGAGGTCAGGAATTCAAGACCAGCCTGGCCAACATGATGAAACCCCATCTCTACTAAGAATACAAAATTAGCCAGGCGTGGTGGCACACACCTGTAATCCCAGCTACTAGGGAGGCCGAGGTAGGAGAATCACTTGAACCCGGGAGGCGGAGGTTGCAGTGAGCTGACATCATAGAGCCACTGCACTCCAGCCTGGGTGACAGGAGCGAAACTCCATCTCAAAAAAAAAAAAAAAAAAAAAAAGGAGTGAAAAGAAGCAGGGGATGTTAATTTTAATAACATAGTTTATCTAACCCTAAATATCAACTATTATTTATTAATGATAAAAGTATTATCCTTTCAACATGTAATTGGTTCTTTATTATGAATCATGTATTATTTATTAATGATTAAACTATTATCATTTTAATATGTAATTGATATAAAAATACTAATAATTTACATTTTTTTACTAAGTCTCCAAAATCCAATATGTATTTCACATTTGCAGCACATAACAATTGCTAAATTTTTAATGGTTAAAGTGAAATGTAGTCCTGTGAAAGTAACACAACCGTGTTTAATGGAAAAATACTATCTACTGCTTCAGTTTTTAAGTTTACATTGAAATGTGTGAAAATGAAATAAAACCACAAGTTCTTCAGTTCCACTAGCCAAATAGCTACCATGTTGGACTGCATAGTTCTAGAACATTCTGTATAATTTCACACAATGATGAGATTGCCTGAATTACCCAAATCTTTCATTATAAGATTCTTTTTTTTTTTTGAGACGGAGTTGTGCTGTTATCGCCCAGGCTGGAGTGTTATCTCGTGATCTGGGCTCATCGCAACCTCCGCCTCCCAGGTTCAAGAGATTCTCTTGCCTCAGCCTCCCGAGTAGCTGGGATTACAGGCATGCGCCACCATGCCTGGCTAATTTTCTATTTTTAGTAGAGATGAACTTTTACCATGTTGGTCAGGCTGGTCTCAAACTCCCGACCTCAGGTGATCCACCCACCTCGGCCTCCCAAAGTGCTGGGATTACAGATGTGAGCCACCGCACCCGGCCCATTATAAGATTCTTTTACCAAGAAGGTAGACTCAGGGCAGAAGACAAAGCATATTTAGGACTAGAGGTTTACTTTCGGCACAGGGGCTTGTGATGAGATAGTTCAGTTGCTTTAAGAAAGAAGTTTCATGTTGAGTAACTGGAGTACTTAAATTTAGGGAGAACAATTCAATCTTGTGCCAGCTAGTCAATAAACTATTTTAATACAGTTTTATTTATCAAGTACTTCTAGCTATTTTAAAAATAGCTTTAAGTAAGTTTAACAAATCACTTTATTATAATTGTCTGCAATTTTAGAAAGTAGTATTCATAAATTGTAAGTGGTTTAGATTTTCTTAAAATGATTCTAAGTAGGGAACATTTAATCTTACCTTCATCATGTCATAAATCTTGTTGTTTTTTATTATGGAGGAAAGACCATAAATAAACCTTTAATATGCCTACATTTTATTGTGGACATTTATGATATGTTTTTGTATATTTTCACAAAAAATACCAAGGTAGAAGGAAAAAGCTCCCTTGTATTTGCAATGGTAATTAATGTTGACGTCTCTATTTATGTATCACAAAATCTTGTGTAAACATACTTCAGTGGGGTCAGAAGAATGTTTTAAATAAACGTACCAAGACACCCTACCTACGGTGCCATTTAGAACAAAATAATAACATGAGGTGTACTAGCTGAGCCCACATTTTGACAACATTTAAACAGTTTCCTTATGAGACAAGCAGTTCCCATCATAAATTTCAACTCCAAATAATTGTTTAATATAAGAGTTCCATATTAAGGTATTAAGGTGCAGAAGTTTTGCTAACAATTCTGAAAACCAAATGGGTTCACAGTTTACATATGAGTTTTTAAATGAAGATTTTCATGAAATATTTTGTAATAACCACCTTTGGAATTACACAAGACACTCCCACTTTCTGCTAGATGTAAATTATAGAATTGAGTGTTACTTGTATGGCATGCAAAGGCGAAAGTTCCTTGGTGAGCCAAAAAAGTGTTCAAATAATTGAATTTCAGTTTCTTCTGTTGCACTGTAACGATTCAGTGTTCAGGCATATTTCTTCGAATCATGCAATCTTTCCCTTGTCTCCGGACATGACAAGCATCACAGGACATGAGGAATTTTATTTGTTACAAACACAGATACTATGCAAGCAGCAAACGGGAATTGTGATTCTCTTCCATAAGTAAAGCTAATACGGGCCTCAAGAGATGGCTGAATTATGACCGTGTTGAAAAGGGAGTACAAACAAACTAATCATCACACAAAAGGGTCTAGGAAAACAAGCAAATAGTAGTCTCATTATAGAAGAAGGAACAAAGAATGACTTTCCTCAGGGGCAGATTAGAGCTCTGATGCTTCTCCAACTACCATTTCCAATGGATTCTACCACCTTAAAGCAATTCCCTTTCGGCTGGGCTTTTTTTTTTTTTTTTTTTTTTTTTTTGAGACAGGTTCTTGCTCTGTTGCCCAGGCTGGAGTGCAGTGGCGTGATCTCGGCTCACTGCAACCTCCGCCTCTCAGGCTCAAGCAATCCTCCTGCCTCAGCCTCCTGAGTAGCTGGGACTACAGGCGAGCATCACCACGCCTTGCTAATTTTATGCTTTTTGTTGTTGTTGTTTGTTTGTTTGTAGAGGCAGAGTCTCACTATGTTGCCTAGGCTAATCTCAAACTCCTGAGCTGAAGCAATCTGCCTGCCTTGGCCTCCCAAAGTGCTGGGATTACAGGTGTGAGCCGCCCTCTTGGCCCTGCTGGGCTCCCTTCAAGAGAAGAATGGCAAAGCCTTTGAAAAGAGCTCACTATAAAAAAATGTCTGCCAGCTCCACTCAGAGTTCTTCTCTCACATCAAGCCACAGTAAGGCAGCATTTCCCTGTGTGCTGCATAGCTAACTTTGCACTGGCAAGGTCTTCTCCAGTTAGTCAGATATTGGGAGACTTGAAATTGTTTCCATTCCTGGATCTTTTCCCAATAACCTTCACATAACTGATGTGGTAAATCACCTACATCAGATAAAAAGTCTTTTTTTTTTTTTTTTTTGGCAATTCAATAACAGGGGTGGCAGGGCTGGGGAAAGCATGTATCGGATTATTTTGTGGATCTTTTGAGATGAGTTGAGAACAGCAGGCTGTCACCTGTGGCCAGTGCAGAAAGATGCAATCCTGTGGATGGAACCAACCGTAACATGTGTTTCTGCTAGGGAGCACGTGCTTGGAAAAAACAAAAGGGCCCAGATTTATTTCCCTTAGAGCTATAAGCCTTTGAACATTTTTAGATGAAACTTCTATATTAAAATCCCAAAGCCTCTGTTTTCTAGGTTGAACATAAATCCAAAACACAGAGGACATCACTGGAAAGAAAAAGAGGTGGTCTAAATGAAGAAAGATGTGGCTGTGCTTGCTTTAAATACCACCGAAGTTTACTGAAATATTTTAACTGTGCACATCTATCTTTCTTCTCCCTTCCTTCCTTCCTTTCCTTCCTTCTTTCTTTCCTTCTTTCTTTCCTTCCTTCTTCCCTTCCCCTTCCTTCCTCCCTGTCTCCCTCCCTTCCTTTCTCCTTCCTTCCTTCCTTTCTTCCTTTCTTCCTTTCTTCCTTTCTTTCTTCCCTTCTTCCTTCCTTTCTTGAGACGAGGTCTCGCCCAGGTTGAGTGCAGTGCATGCGATCATAGCTCACTGTAACCTTGAACTCCAGGGCTCAAGTGATCCTCCCACAACTGTGCAAATCTTAATTGTCACTTTCAATTTGCACTTACTGGACTTAGCCAGAGAAGGGGAGACATTTTGAGAGGCTACTCTCATTTATTGAGATTTGACACTAACTTGTTCCAGGTACAATGCTAGAGCTTTATACAGATAATCTTATTGATCTTGTTAACAATTCCATCAGGTGGATGTGGTGGACTGTCTCAGAGAGGTAAAGTGACTTCCCAAAGGTTTCCTAATTAGAGCAAGGCAGAGCCAGGATCAAACCCAGGTGACTCTATCTTGAAAACCTTGGATTTTCCTCTAGGCCACCTGCCTGTGCTAGAAGCTCTCAACCCTGGCTCCCCTGCAGAATTGTCTCTCATAAGACTTTTAAAGCACAGTGTCAGGGTCCCACCCCAGACCTACTGAATATTTGGGGAGAAGTCTTAGCATGTATGTATTTTTAAGTTGCATGAGTGATGATTCTGATGCATACTCAGGGTAGAGAAACACAAATCAAGTGGTTAATTTAGATCACTGAAAGTAGACCAGGCTAGAAAGATTCAGTGTTACAATTAAGTTTATGATCTAGGCTAGAAAGAGATGACAATATTATCAACTTATCTACCATCCAAAGCAGTGCTTCTCAAACTTGACCATGCCTAGGAATGCTCTGATGATTTTGATAAAATGCAGAGCCTGGCTCAGCAGATCTGGAGAGGTCTGTTTCTGTAGTTCTAAGAACCTCCCAGATGATGCTGATGCCATTGATCTGCAATCACATTTTGAGTAACAAGGTCTGGGGGACCAAGAGTTCAAGCTGTGGATGGGAAATATCCACTGGCTACCAAGGGATGAAGGTGGAATCCTAATATTGTTTTTTGGAGCACTATGCTTTTCAAAAGTCTCTGACCACCTTCACAAATAACTGAAAAGGCAGAGTTTTGGTGATGGTGCCTGCTGGTCTCATCATTCATTCCTTTATCCCCTTTGCATGGCCTTGCCAGGTTGCAGAGGATGATCAGAGTTGTTCTGTGATAGATGTTTGGGTGTCAGTAATGTTTAGTAGTTTCAGTTTTTAATAAAGACATTTCAGCTGGGCGCAGTGGCTTATGCCTGTAATCCCAGCACTTTCGGAGGCTGAGGCGGGCGGATCACAAGTTCAGGAGTTCGAGATCAGCCTGGCCAACATGGTGAAACCCTGTCTCTATGAAAAATACAAAAATTAGCTGGGCGTGGTGGCAGGCACCTGTAGTCCTAGCTACTCGGGAGGCTGAGGCAGAAGAATTGCTTGAACCTCGGAGGCAACGGTTGCAGTGAGCTGAGATCGTGCCCCTGCACTCCAACCTGGGCGACAGAGCGAGACTCTCAAAAAAAAAAAAAAAAAAAAAAGACATTTCATTCAGTTGAAGCTCAGAGTAGACTTTTTTATTCCCTTCTAGGTCAAAATGAAGGTTCTTTGCATAGCAAGAAAAAATGACTGTCCAAAGCCATGCGGCTGCTCCGTAGCCTACTATCCCTAAGAAAGAATTTCTTCCCTTCTTACTTGACTAACCATGCTGTTTAAAATGAAAGAATCAGTACGATTTCATTGTAATGATAACTGCTATCTGAATTCCTCTGAATAAAATGTCTTCATTTAAAAATGGTATTAGTCCTGCCCTGTAATTTTCTGGGGTAGACATTTATATTGAAAGTTCAAAAACCAGATCAAAAGGCACTAGGAAATTACCAGACCAATGTAAGAAATTGGTGAGCTGAAGAGGAAAATTTTTCTCAAGTCAATGTAAACACTAAAGCCTAGCACAAGCTAGACAGTGATTAAAACAATTATTTCAATTAAATTATTTGTGCCTATATATATTTAAAGATACTCACTACTATGCTTCCTTCTGGGAGTTTTGCTGGCTGATCTGTATAAGGCATCTTCTTAACTTCAAAGGACACCAGGGATGCAAGAGCATAGGGATCATTTTTTCTCTGAAAGTAAAAGTATTTATTTAAATATATTTCATATAAAGTTTTTAAGAGTTATACTGGCAGCCACCTAATTATTTTTGGTGTTTTGCATTTCAAGGCAAAATTTCCTCCTTCCTTTTTAATTTTCTCTCTTTTAACTTTTTTTTCCTCCCACCCAAGCATTCATCCATCCACCCACACATCCATGCATCCATGCATCCATCCATCTAAGCGTCGAAGCGTGAATCCATCTATCCAAGCATCCATCTATCCAAGCATCCATCTATCCATCCATTTATCTTCTTCCTATTTCTAAGGAGAATTTATCTCATTAATAAAAGACTGTGTATAATAAGGTTAAAATAAAAACAGAAAATCAGAGTCCTAAAAAGGAGCAAGCAAAGAATTTATATAGTTACTGCTAGTGAAGGACAAAGGAGAAACATAATGGGTGACAAAATTCTTATCAGATGGACGGAAATATTTTAGGAGAGAAACTGGCAGTAAGTTATAAAGAAATGTATTGGCTGGGCGCAGTGGCTCATGCCTGTAATCCCAGCACTTTGGGAGGCCGAGGCCGGTGGATCCCCTGAGGTCAGGAGTTTGAGACCATCCTGGCCAACATGGTGAAACCCTGTCTCTACTAAAAACCAGAAAAAAAAAAAATAGCTTGGCATAGTGGCAAGCGCCTGTAATCCCAGCTATTCAGGAGGATGAGGCAGCAGAATCGCTTGAACCTGGGGGGCGCAGGTTGCAGTGAGCTGAGAGCACGCCACTGCGCTCCGACCTGGGCAACAGGATCAAAACTCTGTCTCAAAAAGAAAAAAAAATCGTAGTATATTTCACAGATTACACAAGACTCACAACAGGGTTTCTTGGCCTAAGCACTGTCAGCATTCTGAGTTAGGGTGGGGGTGGGGGGGCCTGTCCTCTGCATTGTAGGATGTTTGGCCAGCATCCCTGGCCCCTGGCTAGATGCTAATAGCACCCTCCCTCAGTTGTGACAATCAAAGATGCCGGCCGGGCGTGGTGGAATCCCAGCACTTTCGGAGGCCAAGGTGGGCAGATCACCAGGTTAGGAGTTCAAGACCAGCCTGACCAGGATGGTGAAACCCTGTCTCTACTAAAAATACAAAAAATTAGCTGGGCATGGTGGCGGGTCCCTATAATCCCAGCTACTCAGGAGGCTGAGGCGGGAGAGTTGCTTGAACCTGGGAGGCGGAGGTTGCAGTGAGCCGAGATCGTGCCACTGCCCTCCAGCCTGCGCAACCGAGTGAGACTCCCTCTCAAAAAAAAAAAAAAAAAAAAAAAAAAAAGCCTCTAGTTACAGCCAGTTGTCCCCAGGGGAACAAAATCACCCCAGTTAAGAACCACTGACCTAGAGCCAAACAGTGTTTTTAACAGAGCTTCTCAGTGAAAGCTCTGTTTGTTTAATAGGGTCTCATATTAACTGTTGATAAAAGTCAATGTTAAAATATTTAAGAGTGACTCAGGAAGGCTGCTTGGAGAACTGAAGCTTCTGTGGCTCTCTTTTGTTGGATACAATGGTTCGATCTACCCAGTGCTGGGTCCTAACTGGCTCATCATGGCTCTTGAGACCCAAGTGTTAATCATTTCAAGACTTTTGGGTGCCGGTTGTTAAACAGAGCCATTATTACAACTTAAATTATATAAATGTAAACTTAAGTAAATTATATTTCTAAAAAAAAGGTAATAAATACTCAAAACCTCATGCTTGCTATTTTATTACATTTGACTATTATCTGTGCTCAGGATGTGATTTATGTCTACTGTATCTGTAAGAGGAAACACTACATAATGGTGTGGGACCTGGCATCTCTTCCCAGCTCTGTATTCCGTGACGATCATGGTGGTGGCTTGAAATCAGTGGCAAATGTTACGGATCGGGGCTCTTTTTCCTTCCCAGAAAGTAGTTAGTAAAAATCTACCAGTACATCACTGTCTATAATCCAATGTTGGGCCTCATGAGTCCAATAATTTTCCTTAAATATTTTTTACAAAGTTCTTTTTCCCCTGTGGCAGAATTTTTTTCTCCATTAGATAAACGCTTTTTTCCTCTACATGGTAAGGGCAGGACATAGTATGTAACTTTTATATACTTAAAGTTACAATATCTTTGAATGTTTCTTTCTACTCCTACCCTCCAGAATAAACAACTCTACTCATTTGGGAAAATTCCTTTTTGGATGTTATTCTAATGATCTCTTCTCTCTTAGCATTTCCATTTTAACTAAAAGTCGGAGTTTTGTTTGTTTGAGAAGGGTTTTTATACAATTCGGAAACTTTTGCTCATAAAATCATGTGTGTACCTGGTGATTTCAATCTAATTTCCTTGCTATCCTCACTGATAGAAACAAGAGAAACTCTAGTAATGAGATCTTGTGGGTAAGGATTATAATTATATTCTCAAATGCGTTTCCATGCTCCCAAACCTCCAATGAAGAAGTTTTCTTTTATCTCCAAGTTCAATAAAAAATTGATAGAAAATATTACTGTTCTTGAAGTCATGTCTTTGATAAATAGTTTGAAAACTGCATCTCTGCATCAAAATCTTTCTAGATGGAACGCTTTTCTCTTACAGATTCTGCATTTATAAATGCGAAAGTTTCCTAATGCATCATAGACAGCATTTGAACTCTAGGATGTAGAATGTGGATTAATATGTTTCTCTAAGGGAACTTTCTTTCACTTCCTTCCTTTGCCCTTCCTGCTGTTGGCTGCAGTTTGATTTCTCATATTTTCCATTCATCACATCACCAATCTTTTTTTTTTTGAGACAGAGTCTCATTCTGTTGCCCAGGCTAGAGTGCAATGGTGTGATCTCGGCTCACTGCAACCTCCACCTCCCGGGTTCAAGTGATTCTCCTGCCTCAGCCTCCCAAGTAGCTGGGACTACAGGCAAGTACCACCATGCTTGGCTAATTTTTGTATTTTTTTTAGTAGAGTCAGGGTATCTCCATGTTGGCCAGGCTGGTCTTGAACTCCTGACCTCAAGTGATCCTCCTGCCTCAGCCTCCCAAAGTGCTGGCATCACAGGCGTGTGCCACCATGCCCAGCCTCATCACCAATCTTGACTGCCGTTTCTGGTGGTTGCTGAACTTCAGACATATCTGAGATCAGTCTCAGAGATTCTGATTCAGTGAGACTGAGATGAGACTGTATCTGACATATTTTTTGGAAGGTTCACATTGTTGTTTAATTTTTAATTTTTCTCTATTACTTTTCTCCCCAACTATATGATACAAAGATGCAAGGCATATTCCTTGGAATATAATGTCTATATCTTCTACAGAACCTAGAACAATGTGCACAGGAGAGCTTGCTTAATCAATACTGGATCTCTGACCACATGAATGAAGGGTGAATGAACACATCTAATGCTTTGGTCATTTGACGACCCTCCCACTCCATGTACCATCCATTTGATGGCAATTATGAAAGATCTTTCCATTATTGAATTGGACACCCTTTCCTTTCTCCCTTTAATTAGAGTAAGCAATTCAGGAAGTTGTAAAAGGTGATAGTGATATAAGATGAGGGCTACAGTTCCTTTGAAGGGGATATTGATAAGCTCTCACCTCCTCAATCTAATTGGTGTGTGCCTGGACGTAGCCTGGGGTGCTAGCAAATAATAGTGAGAGGTGACAGCATGCTGGCAGCCCTCACAGCCCTGGCTCGCTCTCGGCGCCTCCTCTGCCTGGGCTCCAACTTTGGCGGCACTTGAGGAGCCCTTCAGCCCGCGGCTGCACTGTGGGAGCCCCTTCCTGGGCTGGCCGAGGCCGGAGCCGGCTCCCTCAGCTTGCCGGGAGGTGTGGAGGGAGAGGCACGGGGGGAGAGGCGCAGGCGGGAACCTGGGCTGCGTGCGGTGCTTGCGGGCCAGTGTGAGTTCCGCGGGTGAGTGTGGGCTATGAGGGGCTTAGCACCCGGGCCAGCGGCTGCGGTAGGTGTGCTGGGTCCCCCAGCAGTGCCGGCCCACCGGTGCTGTGCTGGATTTCTCCCTGGGCCTTAGCTGCCTCCCCCAGGGGCAGGGCTCGGGACCTGCAGCCCGCCATGCCTGAGCCTCCCCCCACCCTCCGTGGGCTCCTGTGCAGCCCGAGCCTCCCTGACGCGCACCGCCCCCTGCTCCACGGTACCCAGTCCCATCAACCACCCAAGGGCTGAGGAGTGTGGGCACAGGGCACGGGACTGGCAGGCAGCTCCACCTGCGGCGCCGGTGCGGGATCCACTAGGCGAAGCCAGCTGGGCTCCTGACTGGTAGGGACTTGGAGAACCTTTATGTCTAGCTAGGGGATTGTAAATACACCAATCGGCACTGTGTATGTAGCTCAAGGTTTGTAAACACACCAATCAGCACCCTGTGTCTAGCTCAGGGTTTGTGAATGCACCAATCCACACTCTGTATCTAGCTTCTCTGGTGGGGACTTGGAGAACCTTTATGTCCACACTCTGTATCTAGCTAATCTAGTGGAGACGTGGAGAACCTTTGTGACTAGCTCAGGGATTGTAAACGCACCAATCAGCACCCTGTCAAAACAGACCACTGGGCTCTCTGTAAAATGGACCAATCAGCAGGATGTGGGTGGGGCCAGATAAGAGAATAAAAGCAGGCTGCCTGGGACAGCAGTGGCAACCTGCTGGGGTCCCCTTCCACACTGTGGCAGGTTTGTTCTTTTGCTGTTTGCAATAAATCTTGCTGCTGCTCCCTCTTTGGGTCCACGCTGCCTTTATGAGCTGTAACACTCACCTCGAAGGTCTGCAGCTTCACTCCTGAAGCCAACCAGACCACAAACCCACCGGGAGGAACGAATAACTCCGCGCTGCCTTAAGAGCTGTTAACATTCACCGAGAAGGTCCGCAGCTTCACTCCTGAGCCAGCGAGACCACGAACCCACCAGAAGGAAGAAACTCTGAACACATCCGAACATCAGAAGGAACAAACTCTGGACACGCTGCCTTTAAGAACTGTAACACTCATCGCGAGGGTCTGCGGCTTCGTTCTTGAAGTCGGTGAGACCAAGAACCCACCAATTCCGGGCACAGTAAGATAAGCAAACAGCCTGTAACACCACCTCTCCTAGATCAATCTGTTTTTTGTTTTGAACGCATTCTTCAAAAGTAAGGTTTCTTCCACCCTTGTTGGAAGGAAAAAAAAATGCATCTTCACTTTTAAAGAATGCTCTGGAGCTCCAAGGAATGGAAAACGTGGTTTATTAGACTGATCAGCAGAGTCAGCATCAAAGATACCCAAGTTCTGCGTTGTAGATCAGAGGCATGGCACAGGTGAGTATTTAATAACTCATGGAAAGCAATTACGGGCAGAGGTGTAATAGTGATTCCACATCCAAAGTTAAATGCTTCCAGTTGTGCTCTTTATGTAACAATAGTATTATTCTTATGTTCAATATAACCTCTCTCCCATATAGCAATCTACTCATGTAATAGCAATCACTGCCACATTGTAGGCAATTTAGGATTGAAAACCCAGCTGGGGTTAATATCCCTTGGCAACAATGAGGACCTTCGTCTTGCCCCAGCTGGCTATTAATCCCCAGAAAATGCCTTGCTCGTCTGTCATTACCGCATCATTTAAACCATGGTTTGTAGCTCACTGGCTGTCTCTATCATGCACTTTTGCACAATGATTTGCTTATAGGCATGGTACCAATAAAAGTGAGTTGGTAACAAACGGAGGAGTTAGCGACCTAGTGTGTCAGGCAATGACACAAGCTCTCCCACTCCCAACTTCCAGCTGCTTAATTCCTTCCCAATAATTATTTTAAAGCACATATCCATTTTATGTAGCCCGTTTTGAAATATTCAATATTTACCAGAAACCAAGCCTTTTGAGGTGACAAAACCTAAGGAATTAGTGGCAAAACTTTCACCTGTAAAGGAAATTTCTATTTCAAGCAACAATCACAGAATAGGGGACCATTTAGGATTAACCTACATACAATCTGTTTCTGACCAGTTTGCATGTTCGTTACATGGACAGAAACCAACATAACGCAACAAGTCATATCCACCAAGAATTGTAAACTTTCTAGCCTGGATTAGGAGGGCAGAAAACGTTTCCCTCTTCCTGGTTTGTATGACAAAACTGTTAATAGGCCCCAATGTACAGTGTATTCTTAGATTATAATAACGCATTCCTCTTTAGGATTTGGCACCTGACACTGAAATAAGCAGAAACTGTGGCAGTGCAGAAATTTGGGCTAAGGATGTGGGTGAGCACACAGCGAATTGTACCCGTCTTTCCCATATCTCTGGAAGTGATGCTTTTCCCTAGGACTTCAAAATGTTGCTACAGATTCTTCTTTTCTGACTCTACTTGCACTAAATATTTATTGTTTCCAAAGCCACTCAATTACTATTGACTTTTTGCAGACACCGGGTCTTCTTTAACAGGGAAACGAAGATGTAACTTTCACTCAATCAGCCTCCTACCGGAATAGAATGTCGTGTATGGAACTGAAGTGTGTGGGCTAAAATAGTAACTTTCCCCTACACTCTAGTGTCATAATGATAGGAGTCCTGCCTCATTGAAAAGTTGTTCTCCCTCTTTTTGGTAGGACGTGATGCTCAAAAGTAACAGGAGGAATGTGTTGTTGTCATTTAGGTTGTATAGACTTGGGAATTCGTTAAGGCACCTCTCTTCCAACTCTTGGATAAAAAGTAACAATTGGCTGGGCACAGTGTCTCATGCCTGTAATCCCGGTGCCTTGGAAGGCCAAGGCAAGAGGATCACTTGAACCCAGCAGTTTGAGACAAGCCTGGGTAGCACAGTGAGACTTCATCTCTACAAAAAACAAAACAAAACAAAAAAAAAACACAAAAATTAGCCAGGTCTGGTGGCATGGGTCTGTAGTCCCAGACAATCAGAAGGCTGAGGTGGGAGGAACCTGGAAGTTTGAGGCTGCAATGAGATGTGATTGCACCACTGCACTTCAACAGAGTAAGACCCTGTTTCTAAGAAAACAATAAAAAGCAACAGCCAATCAATAGAGTGATCATAAGCAAATCAACTAAATGCAAGTGGTTCAGTCATCCTGGGTATTCAGTTAAAAAGTTCTATAGTTGGCCAGGTGCAGTGGCTCATGCCTGTAATCCTAACACTTTGGGAGGCCAAGGCAGGTGGATCACCTGAGGTCAGGAGTTCAAGACCAGCCTGGCCAACATGGTGAAACTCCGTCTCTACTAAAATACAAAAATCAGCTGGGCATGATGGCGGGTGCCTGTAATCCCAGCTACTTGGGAGGCTGAGACGGGAGAATCGCTTGAACCCGGGAGACGATGGTTGCAGTGAGCTGAGATCATGCCACTGTACTCCAGCCTGGGCGGCTGAGTGAGACTCCGTCTCGAAAAAAAAAAAAAAAAAAACTATAGTTAAGAAAATTGGCGTTCTATGGAAGCCTATGTCACTTTAGAAAAGCAGAATCTAATTTGAAAAGGCCAGTGAACATTGTGCACATGGTACCCTAAAACTTAAAGTATAATAATAATAATAAAAAAGAAAATGTTCAAGTTTATGACAAATTGTTAAGGTGTTAAAATGACATCATTTTTGTTCAGTCTAAAGAAGTGCTTTTAATTTAGTTTAGTGCTAATAAATGCATGCCAACAAAATAATTAAATGATAAAAAGACTCAGATGACAATTTATCATGAGGAGGCTAACACTTGGATTCTCTGAATTATTAAACTTAGAATTAGGTTTTCTTTGAACTCAGGACAACTTGTATTTGAAGTTCCAAATTTTATGAAAGACCCTTCAAGAAACCACCTGACATTTTCAGGTAAAGGTTTTTTTTTTTTTTTTTTTTTTTTTTAACGTTTCCTTAGAAGACAAGGGAATGGACAGACTGGTTATAAACTATACAAAGATCTATGTGTAGCATTTCTGGAAGATATGTTGTATGCAAATATATAGGATATTTTGCAAAGCTGCTTTGGGGTGTGTGCTTGCTTCTTCCATTTCAACTACAGAATAGAGGGAAGCTTGCCTCTCACTTCCTCAAAGTGAGAAGGAGTTCGTGACTGGCTCTGATCATGGAACCTACCTCAAACGAGGCAACAGAATTCTGATTGAATGTCACTAAGGGTCTCTAGTCTCTGTCTCAGTAGATGAAATAAAAGGTATCAAAACACCTCATCCCTTTGAATCTGTCTCCTGGTTGTGTCCAAGGAGCATGGTGAGTTGCAGCCAACATTATTCATCACCATGACTCTTCCCCAGGTTAAGTCTAGATAAATTATGTCAGCATTGTGGGTTGAGGCCTTGCACTACTCAGACATTTGACACTATCTCCCCTTTGGAAGTGGACCAGAAGCTGAGCCAGTATGACCCAATACTGCGGGTCATTATTTTGGGCAGGAAATAAAAGAACAATCATGACTCTTTGGACTTGTCTCTGTTCCCTGAGATCCTGAATTGTCTGCCTTATGGAACTGAAAAGAATCAAATTAGGGTGTGGCTCAAAGAGGAAAGGCAGCCTAATTCTTATTTATTTTTACTGATATCTATTAGCTGCATGCATTTTGGAGGTACATGTGATATTTTGTTACCTGTATGCAATGTGTAATGATCAACTCAGGGCAATTGGGGTATCTGTCACCTCAAACATTTGTCTTTTCTTTGCATTGGGAACATTACTGATATGATTTGGCTGTGTCCCCACCCAAATCTCACCTTGAATTGTAATAATCCCCAGTGTCAAGGGTGGGGCCGGGTGGAGATAATTGAATCACAGGGTGATTTCTCCCCTACTGTTCTTGTTGTAAGTCTCATGAGATCTGATGGTTTTATAAATGGGAGTTCCCCTGCACATGCTCTCTTGCCGCCATGTAAGACATGCTTTTGCTTCTCCTTTGCCTTCTGCTATGATTGTGAGGCCTCCCCAGCCATGTGGAACTGTGAGTCAATTAAACATCTTTCCTTTGTAAATTACCCAGTCTCAGGTATGTTTTCATTAGCAGCATGAAAACATACTAATACAATTACAAATCTTCCTTCTAGCTACTTTGAAATAGACAATAAATTATTGTTAACTATAATCTCCCCACTGTACTACTGACTATCAGAACTTATTCCTTCTGACCGTATTTTTGTACCCTTTAACCAACCTCTTTTCATCCCTGTTCCCCACCTTCCCTTCCCAGCCTCTGGTAATGATGAATCTGCTCTCTGCCTCCATGAGATCCACCCTTTTAGCTCCCACATAGGAGTGAGAACATGTGATATTTGTCTTTCTGTGCCTGGCTTATTTCACTTAACATAGCCTCCAGTTCCATCCATGTTCTCTCCTCAGTTTGGAAGCCTTCTCATCTCAACCTGGAGGGTTTCAGTTTGAAAGATGTAAGAAAATGAGATGCTCGCCTCTGCCCAAAATGCAAGAAGTCTTTGCTAAACTCACTAAATCAGAACAGCTTGTGGCTTGAGGGAGGATAAGGTGCAAGTATTTGGGAGGAAAGCCAAATGTCGTAACAAACATGAGCCCAAGCTCCTCATGGAAGATTCTTCTGGTGAATGGGCTGGCTGGGCACAGATGTCAGCATAGGTGCATTCTTGGCTGTACCTGTGCTTTTGAGGTATGGGACTGACAGGACTTGTTTTCTGGTCACAACCCTGATGACTAAAACAAGACCTGGTATAGACAGGATGAAGGGAAGAAACTGGCTGAAGGCAGCCAGTAGCTACTAAAGCAATCCCTAGCTGCCTTCATTGCTCATCAGCATAAGACACTCCCGCCAGCACCATGACAGTTTACAAATGCCATGGCAACAGCCCAGAAGTTATTGCCCATTTCCATGGCAACGACCTGGAAGTTATTGCCCCTTTGCTAGAGAGTTCTGAATAACTTGCCCTTCAATTTGCATTCACCCACCCCTTAAGTTGCATATAATTGAACATGGGTATAAGTGGATATAAAGAGAGTTGCCAAGAGCCCAGCAAGTCCAGCTCTGTGTGTGCTGCCTAGGAGTTAGCCCTGCTCCTCAGGCAGCAGGTCCAGTTCAATAAAAGGCTGTTGGAGATTGTGACTTTCCTTACATCCTCTCATAAAGAATGAACCCCTTTTTGCCACAAGCAGTGTCACCTGTCACCTGAAAAGGCAACATAGGGTTGCTTGAATTCTTTTCTGAATGAAGCCAAGAATGCTCATGGGCTAAGCCCCAATTTTGGGGTTCACCTGCCCTGCATCACTTTGGCATCTCAAACGAAGCCATCAAGGTGGTATTTCCAGAGACCCCAGAGAAAGGCATCAAAAATCACTTCTTGTTCACTTTGTTCAAAGGTATCACAAGTTTTTACATTTCTAGAATATCTGCTGCTTCCTGAGCTACTCGCCTTAGGCCATGAGGGATAATTTGTTGTGATCTCATTTGTTGGTTAGTTTTGACTGGTTTCATTTTAAATAGACAAGGACTTGTGTACCAGCCAAGCCTAACATTTGGCCTGAGATGTTTCATTCATTAAAGCATTATGAGTAGTATCCTGTGTCAGGTGATACAAGGGCTGGGAAGAAGATTCAAAGACAAGAAAACATTCCTCCTGCTCTTGAGGAGCTTACCCTCTGATGTCAACTACAGATATATTTTTGGGAAGATTCCTCCACTTTCCCTCCCAAAACAACTTCCTAACACAACCTCACAAGTTTTTTTTTTTTTCATTACATATGGCAGAATTTCAATATTTTATTCACTTAGCAAATATGAATCCAAAAGTTTACTTGCATGGTTCCTGCTTATATCTAAGCTTTGAATTAAAGCCAGTACATTCGGCCCCTTGGTCTACATATCACCTCGTTTTGCTGTCTTTGCTCACTAGTCAGGAGGGCGAGCAGGAGGCTGTTGTGTTTATTCAAACCTGTAACATCACACTTAGGGAAAAATAGATTCCTGATAGAGATTTTGCCTTTTAAGGTGGCCAATGACACTGTTATGGGGCAAAGGGGGCCTAATTCTTACTTTACGAGGGGATATAAGGAAAGTCACAAAGCTATTATTAAACACAGTCCAGGTCTATAATCATAGATACAATAATTGATTGTATGATCGAATCTTGCAATTTTGAATGGAAATATGCTTCCCTAACATTTTAAAACAGTGCTGCTGCATAGAACTTTCTTCAATAGAGAAATGCTCTTAATCTGCACAGACCAATGCAGGAGCCATGAGCTGTGACTCTTAAATACTTAAGATGTGACTGGTGAGACTGGGGAAATGAATTTTAAACTTTAGTCAAATTGAAATACTTTAAATAGCCACACATGACTATTACTACTGTATTGGACAGTATAATTCAAGAATCATAAGATGTTTTCTTTATTGGATTCTGAAATAGCATGCTATACAATTTAAATATCTTGAAAAATTTTAATACACAGTATTTAAAACCTTTATATAGTAGTTATAGTATAGTTATCCATAATTTAAGAGTTATAGTTTAGCTATCCGTAATACAGTGATCAAAATATAAAATCCACAGAGGCTGTTATAGTAATCTTTAGTTCAGCAGTCTAGTGTAGTAACATACATAGGGTAAAAGCTCAAGATTCTCCCCCTTACTATCTATGTGACTCGGGAAGGCCATATAATATCTATGTCTCAGTTTGCTCATCTGTAAAATGCAGCTGACAATAATAATACATGTCCCACAGGATTGCTGTAAGAATTAAATGAGTCATTCATATACAAGCATGTATCATGGTGCTTAGCTACATGGCGATCACTCAATAGTAATCTGACTATTTGCAGACAAACATCCCTCTTTGGAAAGATTGGCAGGCTGTTCCTTAAGCGTAAAGAGCCATTTAGATGTAGTCTGTCTCGGTCAACCAAAACATCAACACAATAAAAAAGTAGGCTATTAAGAGCATACAGAGTTATTGCTGGCTTACACCAAGTAGAATAAACACCATAAATTACTTGTGAGCTACCTATAGAATCAGTGAATTTTCAGGCATGAAAGGAGACTTTAGTCAAATCTCTTCATTTTACAAATAGGGAATTTGAGCCCCATGAAAGTTAAGTGCTTTGAACACAACCAGGCAGGAATGGAACTGAGCTCCTGCATCCTGACCCAGTATCTACCAGAGACAGAGAAAATAGACTCTGTCTAATGTTAGTCAGGGGCATATCTCCTAGAACTTGAATTTAATGTATGTCTGTAGTTTTTTGCACATCACTTTGCTAATAGGCAGTTTTCACATATGAAATTCAAAAATATGCTCACCCCTGTGTTTACTCACACACTTTTGCCAATATTTACCCAAACTGCAAGAGCATCTGCACTGCATCTCCAGCCCCACTCAAGCCTTCAGATGACTTCAGCCCCAACTGTTCTGGTTCAAAATGTTGCCCATTTAGTGATAATGTCTAAGAGTAGATGGAAAATGTATGCAGTGAACAGAGTCATAACAAAACCAATTTAAACCCTAATTAATTGCTTTCTTCTCATATTAGTAAGGTTGGTGAAGTAGTTTAAGGAGCATATTTACTAGATTAAAGAAATTGGTGCAATACTGTAGCAAAATAGAGTCAGGCTTTGTTAGTGGGGATGGAAGATTATTGATTTTAGAGGGTTGAATAATGTCTTACCCAAATTCATGTTCACTTAGAATCTCGTAATATGACCTTATTTGGAATAATGGTCTTTGCAGAATTAATTAAGGTAAGGTTTGAGATGAGACTGTACTGGGATTAGGGTGGGCTCTAAATCCAGTGAGCGTCCTTATAAGAAACAGAAGACACAGGGACACAGAGACACAGAGGGAAAGGTGATGGGAGATGGAAGGAGAGTAGAGTGATGGTCTACAAGCCACTGAATGCCCAGGATTACTGGCAACCATCAGAAGCTAGGAGGGGCCAGGCCTGGTGGTTCATGCGGCTAAGCCCAGTGCTTTGGGAGGCCAAGGCAGGAGGATCACTGGAAGCCAGGAGTTTGAGACCAGCCTAAGCAACATAGCAAGATATAATCTCTATAAAAAATAATTAAAAACTGAGCCTGGCATGGTGCCAGGCACCTGTAGTCCCAGCTACTCAGGAAGCTGAGGTGGGAGGGTTGTCTGAGTCCAGGAGTTCAAGGCTGCAGTGAGTTATGACTGCACCACTTCACTCCAGCTTGGATGACATAGTGAGACCCTGTCTCTACCAAAAAAAAACAAAACAAAACAACAACAACAACAAAACCAAAACCCCATAAAAACAAATAACTTGAAGGGAGGCAGGGGGTAGTTTATTCCTCAGAGCCTCCAGGAGGAACCAACCCTGCTGACACGTTGGTTTCAGACTTCTGGTTTTGGACTTTGAGAGAATAAATTTCTGTTGTTTTAAGCCACTTAGTTTGTGGTCCTTTGTTGCATCAGCCCCAAGAAATGAATCTATTGATCACAACAATATAGCTTACTCCCAGCTTTCATCTGACTAGAGAAAAACAGGATTTACAGTTTATGCTTTCAGACAAATTGCATCTAAAAGTAGGAAATTCAAGAGTTGGCTAACGATCTGTGGTAGCAACCCTCCAAGATGGCCACCAGGGATTCTTCCCTCCTGGTATTCACACCCTTGTGTGGGTGCCTCGCCTACTGAATGAATATGACTGATATGTGCAAATGATAGGGCATTGTGGAAATAACAGAAAGTGGCTTCCTAGGCTAGGTCAGAAAATATGTAAGAGCCTTGGCATCTCCTGGCTTACTTGCCTGAGGGAAGCTAGTCGCCATGTTAGGAGATCGCTCAAGCAGCACTGTGGAGAGGGCCACGTGGTAAGGCCTGCTGTGCATGTCTCTGAGCCATGTTGTGAACAGAGCCTCCAGCCCCTCAAGCCTTCAGATGACTACAGCCCCAACTGACATCTCAGCTGTAACCTCAGGAGAGACACTGAACCAGAATCACCCAGCTAAACCATAGCCAGATTCCTGACTCAGAGTGACAGGATGAATGTCTACGGTTTTAAGCTGCTAGGTTTTGGGGAAATTTGTTATGCACCAATAGATAACTAATACAGGGTTCAGAACAGAACTCTTGGTTTCCTCTCCTGAAACAGTGTTCCCCCAAGTCTTCCTCACCATTTGGCTTAGGCAAAAAACCTTGGAGTCCATCTTGATTCTTCTCTTTTTCTCATCCTCTAACAATAAATTCAACCAGTACTGTTAGTTTTTCCTCCAAAATCAATCCAGACTCATACCTTGTTCCACTTGCTCCACTGTTTTGCCCTAGATTAATCCACCACCATTTCCCTCTGGACTATTGCAGTAGCTTCCAAACCCAGTGCTTTCAATATTGCCCTTTCAAAGCTGTTTTATTAGATGCTGAGTAAACATAAATCATTTATAACACATGATGATAAAGAAGCCAAGATGAATATCCACATGCCTACCGCTGACTTTAATGAACCATTACAAGTACCTTTGAAACATTCTCTTCGTTTCTTGCTAAATGTCTTCTACCCTAAGAGGCTACTACTCTCCTGAATTTGTACTTTCATTTCCTTGTTTTCCTTTAAAGTTTTACCAACCTACTGCTTAGTTTGCCTGTTTTTTTTTTTAGCTTTTTATAAATGGAATCATAATTGACTTTAAAATTCAGTATTGTGTGCCTGAGATTCATCCATGCCAATGTGTCTAATTCATTCCTTTTTATTACTGTGTAGTATTGCTTTGTTAGAGTATGTATTAATTTATTTATTTACTTGTGTTCTTTAAAAAACGTAATTATTATCACATCACTCCTTAGGTTAATTTTGTAGTGGTCCATTGCACTTAGGCTAAAATCAGGCTCCCATCCATGGTATGTAATTCCTGTAATTTCTGTCTCATCAGTGGTGATACTGACACACTGGTCTCCATTTGTTCCTCAAACATGTCTAAAGTGTTCTGGCCTCAGGGCCTTTGCACAGCTCGTTGTATTCTGTCTGGGGCTCTGCCTACAGGTCTTTGCGTGACTCAGGTCTCAGTTCCATGGCACCTCCTCCTAGGCCTCTCCTGTGCCCATCCTACCTGCAGAAGCAGCCGCACTCCCTACTATTTATCCCACTGCCCTGATCTCCCTACACCATTCTACTTTCTTCCCGGCACTGATGCATCTGTTTGCCTGCTCAGTTTCTGATTCCCTCCACTGAGATAACAGCCCTGTGAAGGCAGGTGCTATGTCTGTTGTGTTCACAGCTATTTCTCCTATAACTAGACCCTGAAGCAGCCCTTGGCACACAGTAGGTCCTCCCTACATATTTGTTGAGTGAATGAATATGTAAAGGTTTGATTTTTTAAAAAGTCAAATAAATTGGGCACTGTACTTCTCCTTAGGTCAGTGGTTCAAAATGGGATGATGTTGTCCCCTGAGGACATTGGCAATATCTGGAGAGAATTTTGGTTGTCACACCTGGGGTGAGGGTGCTACCAGCACCTACTAGGTAGAGGTCAGGGGTGCTGCTAAGTATCCTATAATGCCCAGGGTGGCTCCCAGCAACACAGCGCGATCTGGTCTAAAACGTTAATAGTGCAGAGATTGAGAAACTCTGCCTTAGGAGAAAGGAAGGAAAGGAAGGAAAGAAAGAAAATAAAGTAAGAAAGGAAGGAAGGAAGATGAAAGAAAGAAAAGGAAGAAAAGAGAGAGAAAGAAAAGAGACACAGAAAAAGCAATGAAAAAATAAAGAAAGGAAAGAAGGAAGGGAAGAAAGGGAGGGAAGGAAAGGGAAGGGAAATGAGGGGAAGGGAAATGAAGGGAAGGGAAGGGAAAGGAAGAAAGGAAGATGGCTTCACAATGACCTTTAAAACAAAACTTTAATTTCCCTCGTTTTTATTTTAAAAACAAAAATAAGATTGACGAGACTGTAGAAGCATATTAAATCATAGAAAACATAAAAATCTAGGGATAAAAAAATTCTATATTTATAACTAGACTCAAAGGGATTTGACCCTTTGATTTTTCATGGCACAATAAACCAAATGAGTTTGTTTAGTAGTTAAAATGTGAGCAAGAATGTGTAGACGTGGTAAGAGTTAATTTAGGATTAAAAAAAAAATTCCTCCCCAAACAATAAGGTTGTAACACAGCAGTATCATTTAAATAGCGCTTTCCAAAATGAAACTCTCATTTTCTTAGCATAAAAGAGATTTTAAACTTTTAAAATGCCCATAGTCGGCCAGGAGCAATGGCTCATGCTTGTAATCCCAGCACTTTGGGAGACTGAAGCACGTGGATCAGTCGAGGCCAGGAGTTTGAGACCAGCCTGGCCAATGTGGCAAAACCCCATCTCTACTAAAAATACAAAAATTAGCTGGGCATGGTGGCCCACGCCTGTAGTCCCAGCTACTTGGGAGGCTGAGGCAGGAGAATTGCTTGAACCCAGGAGGCAGAGGTTGCAGTGAGTCAAGATCGCACTACTGCACTCCAGGCTGGGTAACAGAGCAAGACTCCATCTCAGAAAAGCAACAACAACAAAAAAAAGTGCACAAATCAATGGAATGATCCCTGGCTATTGTGGGATGCAGAGCCAACCACAGGAGTGGTGCATAATCTGTAAATCATACTCACGTACCTGGAACTTGGCTGAGGTGCTGTCCTGGTTGGAGCCCATGCTGCAGGACCACTTGACAAGAGGAACCTTCTAGAACAATCTCCCCTTTCCCTTCTAAATTGATTTCTATTTTAACTTCTCTGGACATATATATCTTGGATTATGTTCTCATACTCATCATGCTGCCACTGACTAATAGTTACTGTGCCCAACACTGGGTATATAACAGTGGACTAAGTACATTTTCTGATCTATTCTCAAGGTCTTAGGGACTCAGGATGTTTAAACTGTCTTTACCTGCTGGGAAAAATGACCAGTTCATCTTGTTCAACTCCTCCACATACATTTTATTTGAAGTAATTTTTTAAATTTGAAACTTTTACATTGAAAAATGTAAAAAAAATTTTTTTAAGTTTAAAATTCAAGTTTTAATTTTTTTTTTTGAGGCAGTGTCTCACTCTGTCACCCAGGCTGGAGTGCAGTGGCACAATCTTGGCTCACTGCAACCTCTATCTCCTGGGTTCAAGGGATTCTCATGCCTCAGTCTCCCAAGTAGCTGGGACCACTGGTGTTCACCACCAAGACCAGCTAATTTTTCTATTTTTAGTAGAGATGGGTTTTTTACCATGTAGGCCAGGCTTGTCTCGAGCTCCTGGCCTCAAGTAATCCATCTGCCTCGGACTTCCACAGTGTTAAATTAGAAATCGCTATGAAAAGACTTCCCACTGAGCTTTTGTGAAGCAGCTCCCAGTGAGCAGTGTGTATGTGCTTCTGTGGTTGTTTATTACCTGGAGGAAGGTGTGGGCCCATAATCGTGACCTGACTTTCAGGACTGCGCTTTCTCCTCCTTCGAGTCGTCCCACTGCACAGGAGATTTGTAAACACTCGATATTTGTACAATTCTGCAAACAGCAGTGGGAACACGTCAGAGTCTTTAAATCATGGTAGAGACTGAACACTGAAGTTAGCTTATTTACATTTCATTTCCTCAAAAGTCATCACCTTATGATAAATTATTAATGTAAATAAAGAACAATATATTGCAACAACCAAGAAAACACAGTTTAATGGCGAGGATGAATGGAACACAAAATGCAACATAAAATTTAAGCTCTTTTCGAACGACTTTAAGAGAATCTTTCTGCAGCAGCAATTTAATTGTTCTGTTTCATTTTCTCAGAACTGGGGAAGGCATTGCTTATAGATATTCACAATACCCAGTGCTGGGTTCAGCAAGTCTGGAAGGGGTTGCAGAGGAAGACTCTTGAGCCTATATTATCTCAAAGATCTACAGTTACTGACCGATTGACATACATTTGTTCCATAACGTTCTTCTGTCTAAATTATTTCCTGGTTATAAAGGAGGCTTTTCTGTGACTTTCATTCATTAGGCTATTTTTTAATAGGTTTCTAGAATTGCCCAGCGTATAATGAATAACCTTTAATATATGAAATGTGTGTTCCTCAAAAGGATTCATTATAATGACATTCTATCTATCAAATCAGATTTTCTTTCTTTTTTCTTTTCTTTTCTGTTTTTTTTTTTTTTTTTTTTTTTTTTGAGACAGAGTTTTGCTCTTCTTGCCCAGGCTGGAGTGCAATGGTGTGACCTCAGCTCACTGCAACCTCTGCTTTCTGGGTTCAAGTGATTCTCTTGCCTCAGCCTCCTGAGTAGCTGGGATTATAGGCACCCGCCATCATGCCTGGCTAATTTTTGTATTTTTAGTAGAGATGGGGTTTCACCATGTTGGCCAGGCTGGTCTCGCACTCCTGACCTCAGGTGATCCACCCGCCTCGGCCTCCCAAGGTGTTGGGATTACAGGCATGAACCACCATGCCTGGCCTCAAATCAGATTTTCTAATCAGATTCCAGCATGGAAATAAATGAACACATCATAATCCATTTTTTGTGTGCCATGCACAGAATGATACTTCTCTAATTGTACTCCATCATGGGTTTAAATTTATCTTGTGGCCCATGCGTATTCATTTTTCATATCTCAAGCCCTCAACATTGGCCTGTGAGTACTCAATAAAAATCAATGTATTGGATATTATGTGAAGTAGTTGACTGAGACATTTCACTTTAATGAAATTGATATAACACAGAATAATCCAAGGAACATATTACGACAAGAACCTTTTTCGAGAACATTTTTCAAGATCCTCAGAATTCTCTGCAAAGGGGTTAGTAATATATTGTCTGATAAATTGCGGTGAAGTTCATTTCCTACAGGATGCTTCCAAAGGCACGTGGGTGGACTGTCCTTGGGCTACTAGAGTTGGGTGCTGAGGTGCTGATGTTGTTTGGCTATGTCCCCACCCAAATCTCATCTTGAATTGTAGCTTCCATGACTCCCACATGTTGTGGGTGGGACCTGGTGAGGGATAACTGGATCATGGGGACGGTTTCCCACATACTGTTCTCATGGCAGTGAATAAGTCTCACGAGATCTGATGGCTTTATAAGGGGTTTCCTCTTTCGCTTGGCTCTCATTCTCTGCTTGCCTGCCACCATGTAAGATGTGCCTTCTGCCTTTCACCATGATTGTGAGGACTCCCTAGCCATGTGGAATCGTGAGCCCATTAAGCCTCTTTTTCTTTATAAATAACCCAGTCTCGGGTATGTCTTTATCAGCAGCGTGAAAATGGACCAATACAGGTACCCACAGCAGGAACAGGAATTCTCAAAACTCTGTGGTTTGTGGCCCTTTCAAGGACTCTCATGTTGACCTGTGCTTCACGGCTGACATGCTGTGTACCACTAACCCTGCCCTTCAGAGGGAAGAGGGGTGTCAAGGTCAGGAGTTGTAGACTCCTTGCAGATGGGGAACCCAGATAGCCAGCTCTGCTAGAGGATTCTGGAGAAGACAATGTTTGGAATGAGCCATGAAGGTATGAATGGGAGGTCACCTAGCAGAATGGGAGACCTGGCCCACGATTCTGTTGTACTAGACCAGGGCATGCTTGAGAAAGGGAAGAGCAGGGTATATGAGGGTGAAATGGACAGATGGAAGTAGGATAGCAATGAGAGAAAGTCTATATGAAGAGTCTTCCTATGCATGCTAAGGAGTTTAGATTTTATTCAGAAGGCACTGGAGAACCTGTGATGCTTTTATATCCAGGGGATATTGATCAGGTTTGTATTTTAGAGGGATGGGTAATATGAGAGGAAAGAGAAGAGAGAGGGAAGATTGGGGGGCAGGAGGGTGATAGGGGCCCGTTGCAAGAGCCCCTGGTGAGTGATGCTGAGGCCCTGAACTGAGGCAGTGGAAATGGAGAGAGGAAGATAAATTTTGGAGAAGTTTAGGAAATAGAATAGAGACATGATGACTACACAGAGGTTACATGGAGAATGCTCTTTGGAGAAGAATGGGGTGGATGGGTGCTGGTAACACTGAGACTGGGGATTCTAGAGAGGAGGTACATTTGAGAAGTCATGGAGACAAGGGTTTTGGGTATGCGAGGACGGGCGTGGCTCTCAGACACCCAGATCATGCCTTTAAGGCTTGAATTCAGTAAGGGAGGGCTGAGATGACAGGAGGCACTTAGGAATTACTGGAAATATGATCATGCAAAAAATTAAATGGATGAGAGAGAAGAGGAGGGGGCTGGGATGGAATCCTGGGGAACAGGGGCATTGAAAGGATGGGCAGAGAGAAATCTTAGATGAGAATTTCTAAGAAGAGACCATCCAAATGGCAGAAAGAGAACCAGGAGGGGATGTTTTCGGGGGAATTTCAGAAATGTGATAGTTTCAAGAAGTGGCCAATAGTATCAAATGCTGGAGAGGCATCAAGAAAGGCAAGGTGGCTGGAAGCTGGGCAATGAAACAGAAGACAGGAAAGTTTGGAGAGGAGGAGATGGAGGTGATAGCTACAGAAATAGCAGGGGCCCACTATGAGAAAGGGAAGGGTATTCTTAGGCGGAGGAGAAATTATTTTTCAGTGTTTTAGATACAAATTTTTCCTGTGCAAATTGGAAATTTTGATCCCAACACAGGATGTTGGCATTTTGCACTTTCAAATTCCTCATCAGAAATGGGATTCAGTAAGTTGTTTTTAACTAAACAAAAAACGTAGGAGGTCTTATTTCGCTTTTGATTTTAGAATAAACTTCGCATAATCACTTTCTATCCAGAGTTGTTTTGACTCCAGGACATAGGGGGTCATAAGATTTGCAATTTTTGAACCAGTAAGAGAGAAAGAGAGTAATATATGTGTTAACAAAACCAGATATGGAAATCAAGAACTGCCTTGGCCTTCATCTGAGAGTTTTTATGATATTCGGAAGTTTAAAATTATCTTACATCAACATTTAAAGAGAAACAATAGAAGGAAAAAAATGGACCCTGCAACGCAAATACATACAATTTTCAAAAAAAATTTCGTTATTGATCTCGACTGTCTCAGTGTACTAATGAGACATACCCTGAAGTGGAAATTAAAAAACATACTTGAACTTTGATTTTTCTTTCTTTTTTTTTTTGAGACAGAGTCTCGCTCCGTCTCCCAGGCTGGAGTGCAGTGGTGCCATCTCAGCGCACTACAAGCTCCGCCTCCCGGGTTCACGCCATTCTCCTGCCTCAGCCTCTGGAGTAGCTGGGACTACAGGCGTCCGCCACCAGGCCTGGCTTTTTCTTTTGTATTTTTAGTAGAGACGGGGTTTCACCATGTTAGCCAGGATGGTCTCAAATCTCCTGACCTCGTGATCCACCCGCCTCGGCCTCCCACAGTGCTGGGATTACAAGCATGAGACACTACACCCTGTCTAACTTTGATTTTTCAAATCATTAATACTGCATATGTTTGGACATTGGTTTTTCAGAGGGATTTTTCCCATTGGTACTGCATATTAGAATTCTGTAGATGTCTCTTTTTTATTATACTTTAAATTCTGGGATACATGTACAGAATGTGCAGGTTTGTTACATAGGTATACATGTGCCATGGTGGTTTGCTGCACCTATCAACCCGTCATCTACATTAGATATTCCTCCTAATGTTATCCCTCCCCTATCCCCTCACCCCCGGGCAGGCCCCGGTGTGTGATGTTCCCCTCCCTGTGTCCATGTGTTCTCACTGTTCAACTCCCACTTATGAGTGGGAACATGCAGTGTTTGGTTTTCTGTTCTCCGTGTTAGTTTGCTGAGAATGATATCAATTGTTTTCTGTTCTATTGTACACCATGGAAGCTTTTTAAAAATGATAACATGCAGAGCTTTATTAATTTATCCTAAAAGGAATAGTATATGGATTCCCTACTGTTATGTTTCTTAAACATTACAGTGTCATAAAAATTTACTTGAGGCTGGGTGCGGTGGCTCACACCTATAACCCCAGCACTTTGGGAGGACGAGGTGGGACGTTCACTTGAGGTCAGGAGTTTGAGACCAGCGTGGCCAATGTGGTGAAACCCCATCTCTTCCAAAAACACAAAAATTAGCCGGGCATGGTGGTGGGCACCTGTAGTTCCAGCTACTCAGGAGACTGAGGTGGGAGGATCACTTGAATCCGGGAGGCCGAGGTTACAGTAAGCTGAGATTGCACCACCGCACTCCAGCCTGGGCGACAGAACGAGACTCTATCTCAAGAAAAAAAAAATTTACTTGAATTACAATCTTCCAGTTGCCATAGTTTTTTTTTTTTTTTTTTGTCTTCAAAAAGTAACTTCAGCTACTTCTATCATAACAAATGCTTCATTTGACTTAAGTTTAACTGATTGAGATTTGCTCATTATATTTTTCTGTCCATTTCCATAGTTCAAACATTTTCTACTGTCAAGATGAAATAAATGAATGTCAAGGAGTGTTTAAGGCACACCTTTTAAAGCCATTTTAACCATTTTAAAGTGTGCAGTTTGGTGGCATTAAGTACGTTCACAATGTTGTACCACCATCACCTCCATCCAACTCCAAAGCTTTTTCATCATCCCAAAGTAAAACTCTTGAAAACTTCTGCATCGATGAGACACAGAACTAGGATTTGTTTACATGTCTTTTATCCTAATATCCTCTTTGAGGGCTCTTGGCTATGACTAAAAAAAGTTATCCAGCTGGGCATGGTGGCTCACACCTGTAATCCCAGCACTTTGGGAGGCTGAGGCAGGTGGATCAGCTGAGGTCAGGAGTTTGAGACCAGCCTGGCCAACATGCTGAAACCCTGTCTTTACAAAAAATTAGCCAGGTGTGGTGGCACGCACCTGTAATCCCAGCTACTCAGGAGGCTGAGGCAGGAGAATCACTTGAACCCAGGAGGCGGAGGTTGCAGTGAGCTGAGACGGCACCATTGCACTCTGGCCTGAGCACCAAGAGTGAAACTCTTGTCTCAAGAAAAAAAAAAAGTTATCCATATGATGGGTAACACATTTGGGATTTTCAGGAATATGATTAATTTAATATGGCGTTATCCTACTTTATTGGACTGAAATAAATTATTATCAGAGTTTTAAAATATTTTGTCATGCTTTTGTTTTTTAAAAATAGTTAATTCCAGGTAAATACAGGAGTGCAGGAATGGAAAGGAAGTTAATTTAGGACTTCCGCAGCTCCCTGCTTGCCACCCATTTGTTTTCCTTAAAAACTCATGAGCCTTCTCTGTATCATCTGATAACTCCGACCGGGACCCCCTGATGAATTGCCCTGAGTTCAGAACTGCAGGAGAGGCAGAGCCTATGGGGGGAGGGGCTGTTCATCTGGCTCCTTGTACCCTAAGTCTATGGATTACAAAAAATAATGCACTATTCTTTTGGGCTAGTGCCTCTCTGGCATGAAGCCATGGTCTCATGGCTGCCTCAGGGCTGCCCAGATCCACCCCTTGCATCATCCTTCCTGAGTCTTGTCTCCTGTATTGGAACTCTGTGTCTGTCCTCCCCACCATGTGTGCACCCACACACTTGCACATATGCACATGCACCCAGGTCCCACAGATGCCACTAAATTGGCTGAGAGAGTAGAAGACTATTTATACCCAGTGCATTTTCCACTTTAGTTGAAGGGTCAACTGATTGTTAACATTCCCTCCTACTGTCATTACATTTTATCTTTGCAAATCCTTTCTTTCTTTCTTTCTTTCTTTCTTTCTTTTTTTTTTAATGAAGAAAAGAGGTTTAATTGACTCACAGTTCCACAGGCTGTACAGGAAGCATGACTGGGAGGCCTCAGGAAACTTACAAGCATGGGGAAAGGGTGAAGGAAAAGCAAAAACCTTTTTTGCAAGGCAGAGAGGGAGAGAGAAAGCAAAGGGGGAATTGCAAATCCTTTCTTAAACTTTAATTTTTCAGTTATGTAAATCAAGCGTATGGATTTCCGTTCTACAGATGAGAAAATCAGGGATTCAATTTCTTGAGCACTGATTTCCTTTCTTCAGTGATAGCTACCGTGAATTATTTCAGTTTCATAAATGGCTGGAGCAGTTCTAGTCCCCAAAGCATCCTTGAACATTGTCATAAAAAATGGCTGATTTCATTTATTCATGTCATAACATTTTATCTTGAATTCAGCAGATCTGGTGGCTAATGAATTTGGTCACTACCAACACTATCTTTTAAACGGCTTGCAATATATCATTGGCTTATAATTGGATTTAGGATTAAGAGCATGTAGGTTAAGAACACATAGAAGGGCACACCATGGAGCATTTTAGACAATGATTCCAAAAGCTATTAATACTGTCTGTGATGAGTTCACTCACTGTGTCATTCACATGTTTGTTCAACAGATGAGCTGGTATTATGCTACATGTTGAGAAAACAACACTGAGAAAAAAAACATGCCACCTACCCTAATGGGCTGTCAGGACTGCGGACAGGGAAGGAGGGAGGATGCCCCCTTGGGTCAGTGCACCGTGGCACCTCAACAAGTCTAGGAGCCATTCACAGTTTCCGGGATGAACCCAGTCTGGAGAGGGTCAGCAGCATAGGTAGGTTAGGTGTCTAATGGCTTTCAACCCAGCCAGGACTGTGACTGCTGCCCCTGTAGAAAGAACTCTAGCACCCTCCTTGGTTCAGTCTCTTCCACTTCTACCTCCACCTTCCCTTTTTTTTTTTTGAGACGGAGTCTCGCTCTGTTGCCCAGGCTGGAGTGCAGTGGCGCGATCTCGGCTCACTGCAAGCTCCGCCTCCCGGGTTCACGCCATTCTCCTGCCTCAGCCTCCCGAGGAGCTGGGACTACAGGCACCCACCACCACGCCCGGATAATTTTTTTTGTATTTTTAGTAGAGACGGGGTTTCACCACGCTAACCAGAATGGTCTTGATCTCCTGACCTCGTGATCTGCCCACCTCGGCCTCCCAACACCTTCCCTTTCTTATTACTCATTTGCCCTGCGGTCTTCTGCCAGGGTCTCTCTCTCTCTTTTTTTTTTTTTTTTTTTTTTTTTTGAGACCAAGTCTCACTCTGTCTCCCAGGCTGGAGTGCAGTGGCACGATCTCGACTCACTGCAACCTCCACCTCCCTAGTTCAAGCGATTCTCCTGCCTCAGTCTCCTGAGTAGCTGGGATTACAGGCGCCTGCCACCACGCCCAGATAATTTTTTTTGTATTTTTAGTAGAGATGGGTTTCACCATGTTGGCCAGGCTGGTGTGGAACTCCTGACCTCAGGTGATCTGCCCACCTCAGCCTCCCAAAGCGCCGGGATTATAGGCTGAGCCACCATACCCAGCCAGGTCTCTCTCTTTGGCTTGCTGCTTTGGATGGATAACCCTGGACTTGTCACTGTGGCCTTTGATTCAGTGTCACCACAAATCACTGCATCTTGGACTGAGCTTCTGAACTGCAGCTATGGGGCAGGAAGTACGTGCTTGGTCTGTGCCCCCCATACCAGACCCAGTGTTCCCAGCCTGTCCCTGCCCCAAGCACGGAATGTTTGTTTTCTTGCTTTATCCTTATTTTATATATCTATTGTAATTTTTATGGTTATGTAATAGGTGTATATATTTATAGGGTCTATGAGATATTTTGATATGGGCATACAATGTGTAATGATCACATCAGGGTAAATGAGGTACCAGCACCTCAAGCATTCATTTCTTTGCATTACAAAATGTTCCAATTATGCTCTTTTAGTTATTTTTAAATGTACAATAAATTGTTGACTATAGCCACTCTGTTGTGCTATCAAACAATAGATCTTATTCATTCTATCTAACTATATTTTGTACCTGTTCACCATCCCCACTTCTCTTGTTTGCTTGCTTTTGAGAAGGGTATTAGCTTCTGAGGTGATCTCTGATTACTTCTGCATAGCTGGAGAATGTGCATGCAGCTTCCTACTTTTTATGGACATGGTCTACAGAGCACAGATAAACCCTGACATTCACTTTGAGCCCTTGCCACATGGTCAGGGAAGAGGATGAATATTCACATGAAAACATAAAGCACTAGAAGCTGCCGCAATAGGATGAGTGGGAGAATAGAATCAAAAATGCTGACTCTGACCGGGCATGGTGGCTCATGCCTATACTCCCAGCACTTTGGGAAGATGAGGCAGGCAGATCACTTGAGGTCAGGAGTTCAAGACCAGCCTGGCCAACATAGTGAAACCTTACCTCTACAAAAATGCAAAAATTAGCTGGGCATGGTGGCATGTGCCTGTAGCCCCAGCTACTCGGGAGACTGAGGCAGGAGGATTGCTTGAACCCGAGAAGCAGAGGTTGCAGTGAGCTGAGATTGCACCACTGCACTCCAGCCTGAGTGACAGAGCAAAACTCTGTCTCCGAACAAACAAAAAAAGTGCTGACTCATGAACACTGAAGATAGTATTGCTAAGGGCTAACTAAGCTCAGGCTTGAGCTGCCACAGACCCCAGTGCTAAGACTCAGCAGGGGTTTTGGCCCAGGAAACCTGAACACAGCATTCTTTTTTTAAAAAGTAGAGGCTGGGTCTTGCTATGTTGCCCAGGCTGGTCCCAAACCCTTGGCCTCAAGGGATCCTCCCACCTTGGCCTCCCAAAGTGCTGGGATTACAGGTGTGAGCCACCATACCCAGCCCTGAACACACCATTCTTGCCTCTTCCAGATAAGCAGAAGCTCTGAGATTCTGGGACAGGTGCAGAACTCCAAGGGTCCATGCTCACTTCAAACTACCACAGCCCAGCATCTATGCACGGACTAACAACTGAAAGTGTATGTTCCTGAAATGGATTGAAGGTCACAGTTGATGTTTTCACCATTATTCTCCAAAGTGGCCTCCATGGCAGCTTTAGAAAAGTGAAAAGGTTATATTGCAAGTGCTCCTTAATTCTTACAGAAAAGTTGCTTTTCATTCTCGAGATAAACACTGCCAAACGTTAGGAATATCTGAGCACTGAAGGAGACCAAGAACAATCCTTGAAGTTAAAACTATCTGTATTTGAGGGTTCTATCCAAGCCACTCATTTCCCTCAGTTCTATGCACACTGGGATAACTCACCAGTATTTTTGCAGGGCTCTGTCTGTGGAATTCGACCACATGTACATCCCTCTTCCTGACAAGATGAGGAATAGTAGAGTTTCGCAAAAAGGCGCTGAGCTCAGGGGTGTCCTCTGGGGAGGCAGCAGGCTGCAAAAAGAAAGTGGGAGATACCACATTAAAAACACATGAACAGTTGCTACATTTTCTTTAGCCTTGAACTCTAGGCAATTTTTTTTTCTCAGTGGAATATGATTCACATGAGGATCCAGACCTGTGATTACCAGCAGTGTGTTTAACAGTGACATGACCTGCACGCACAAGGAACAAGCTTTTCCACTCTTCAATGACAGGAATTCACGAAGCATGGGGAATGCATTCCTGGGAAGTTTATCTTGCAAGGAGAAGATTTGAAGCAGAAGTCATTTCCCCACAAGGATAGAAAACATGCAAGTGACGTTTCAGACATGAGCCATCCTTCTCTCATTACTTTCCTCTCATTGTAGAGTGGGGCCAGTTAAACTGAGGAACGTTCTGTATGGGGAGATGAATCCTGAGGTGACAGAATAGTGAGGTGCCAACCTCATTTGGGGAAACAGCCTGATGTGGTCAAAGACCCCACATCCACATGGCTGAACCCCACGTTCCTGCACTCCTTTAGGAGAAAATTCTGCCCTGACAAAAATGACTTTTCGAAAGTCTGCTACATGTTCACTGTGCTGCAGTGGAGTCTGTTTTCAGCCCTGAGTTCGTTTTGCAAATGTCCTAGAACTTACTATTTTATCTCAGGTTCCATGCTGGGTCCATCTGCTGGCTGGATAAATATTTTGAGAATTCCAATAAATCACACAGAATATCGCATTAACATTCTTTATTTTAGACCCACTGAATACAAAGACCTAATTTTCTGTTCCCCACTCCCACCCTTGAGAATTATGATTTCTTTCACACAGTTTCTCTTTGTAGTCACAGGAGCAATAATAGTATGCCCATCTCTATGGAATGAAGAAAAGAAATTTCTACATGGCCGATGTAGGCTGCATCACAAAAGATGAAATGAGAGTGCTCAGTATGTCATGAAAACCTGGAAAAACCTACTAGACAAACAGAAGGACGGAGTCCAGACTCCCTAGCATGGCACACACAGGTCCTCACATGCTGGCCTTGGCCGGTTTCTCCAGCCTCTTCTCTGACCAAGAACCCAAGGTCCTTCACTCCAGCATGCTAACCTGCTCTTCGTTCCCGATGGCCCCAGGTACACTCGCCAAGCCTCTGATGTTCTGCATGCTTGGTCTGGGGCCCATCTGTGCCTATCCAGCTGTACCTAAGCTGCCTGCCAGCTGGTCTGCATTGCCAGATGAGAAAATGGAAAACACAAAGCAGAGAGTCACTTAGAGCCTCCCAGGAAACAGAGAGATGAAGATAATCTGGAGAGGAAAGCTAAGGCAGGGAGATCAGATGTAGGAGGTAATCTAGGAAAGTGTCGTTTTTATACAAGCCCAAGGAAAAGAAAGCTGCAAAAATAAGAGAGTGACAAAGAATGCCAAATCCTGCAGAGAAGTAAGGAAGGGTGAAGACCTTTATGCACTGAACTTGGCAATTTTGTCATGTCCTTTGTAGGGACGTGGATGGAACTGGAAGCCATTATCCTCAGCAAACTAACATAGGAACAGAAAAACCAAACACTGCATGTTCTCACTTATAAGTGGGAGTTGAACAATGAGAACACATGGACACAGGGAGGGGTACATCACACACTGGGGCCTGTCAGGGTAGGGGGGCGGGGGGAGGGAGAACATGAGGAAAAATAGCTAATGCATGTTGGGCTTAATACCTAGGTAATGGGTTGACAGGTGCAGCAAACCACCATGGCACATGTTTACCTATGTAATAAACGTGCACATCCTTCACAGGTACCCCAAAACTTAAAATTAAATTTAAAAAGATATTATGAGCCAGGCTTATGCCTGTAATCTCACCACTTTGGGAGGCCGAGTCAGGAGGATCTTGACTTGAGGCCAGGTGTTTGAGACCAGACTGGGCAACATAGTGATACCTCATTGCTAATTAAAAAAAAAATAGCCAATGTGGTGGGACAAGCCTGTAGTCCCAGATACTTGGGAGGCTGAAGCAGGAGGATCATCTAAGCCCAGGAGTTCAAGACTGCAGTGAGCTACGATCATGCCACTGAATTCTCAGCCTGGGCAACAGAGTGAGGCCCTGCTTCTAAAAAAAATAAAAAGAAAAAAAGAACAAAATTACAGATGTCCTTTTATGAGGACAGATTGGTGGAGGTGGAAATTTAACTGCAGTAGCTCAAGAGTGAAAGGATTTTAACAAATGGATAATTATTTAAAAAGATATGAAATTAAATCCTTCTGTTGTTCTTATAGTAAATTCCCTACGGCTGAGAGACAAGATGAGCCTTGTCCCCCAAATAAGGCATGAAAACAAATATTGATGTTTGTAGCAACACTATTTATAATAGAGAAGAAAAACTGTAGCTTAACACTTTGTAGGCATATACAGGTTACTGATTAAATAAGTTATGATCTATTTATACAGAATACTACTGGACAGGTTTTAAAAATGATGGCATGAAGCTCCATTGGAATTTAGAAAGATACAAGATATTAGTAAGGGGAAAAGACAGGTTTACAACAGCAAATGTAGTAAGATTGTATTTTTAATAAAAATGGATGTATCTGACATTGTAGATCTATAAATAGAAATAATCTGGAAGGGCAGTCCTCAAAGTGTTAGAGTAGTGGAGATCCGATGATATTAAGGAAGTTTTGCTTATTTCTTTTTAGGTATGATAATAATGTTGTAGATTTTAAAAGGGTCTCCTTATTTATTTATTTTTCATTTTTATAGACACGGTCTCACTCTGTCGGTCAGGCTGGAGCATAATGGGTACAATCGCAGCTCATTACAGCAGAGTGATCCTCCTGCTTTAGCCTCCCAAATAGCTAGGACTACAGGCACATCCTGCTGCACCTGCTGAATTTCATTTTTGTAAAGACAGCATCTTGCTATGTTGCCAAGGCTGGTCCTGAACACCTGGGCTCAAGTGATCCTCCTGCCTCAGCCTCCCAAAACATTGAGATTACAGGTGTAAGTCACTGTGCCTGGCCAAGTCTCCTTATCTGTTGGCTATATATATATATATATATATATATGTATATATATATATATATATGTATGTAAAATGTTTATGGATGTGGAAAAATAAGTTAATGCATAAATAAATGGAAAAATAACAGTAAACAGGTGGTAACACTATTATTTAAAATGCTCTTCTTTATGTTTTTACATGTTGCTTGATATATTCTTATGATAGCATTTAGCGTTCTTAACATAAAAATCATGAACAATGTACAAAAATGTAAAATTGTAAAAAAAGTAAATGAGAAATGAAAAAGTAGAGATAGCAAGCACAGCTTGGCTATAAATGGAAGGGGAAAGAGGTCCGTTCTTGGAAGAGAATACAGAGTCAAATTACTGCACTTACTGTTTGTTTTGAAGATGGGAGAAATTTAACAAAGTTTATAGAACCCAAGGAATGTCCAAGGAGAGAGGAAGAAGTTGAAGATACGGGAAATGGAGATACTTGATGTACCAAAGTTAATTCATGGAGCTGGAGGAATAATCCTCCTTTCTCTGGAAGTGTTAGAAAGCAATTGAGGATGGAAGAGAGATGATTAGGGGCATGTGGAAGGGTGGGGTGGTGTATTAGTCCATTCACACACCCCTATAAAGAACTGTCCAAGACTGGGTAATTTATAAAGGAAAGAGGTTTAATTGACTCACAGTTCTCCCTGGCTGGGGAGGCCTCAGGAAACTTACAATCATGGCAGAAGGTGAAGGGGGAGCAAGGTACCTTCTTCACAAGGTGGCAGGAGGGAGAATGAACAGGAGAGGAAATACCAGACACTTATAAAAACATCAAATCTCGTGAGAACTCACTCACTATCACGAGAAAAGCATGGCTGAAACCACCCCCGTGATCCAATTACCTCCACCTGGTCTCTCTCTTGACACATGCGGATTATGGGGATTATAATTCAAGATGAGATTTGTGTGGGGGCACAAAGCCTAACCCTATCAGGTGGGGAGGGGTTTGGGATGGGGAAATGGATCATTCCTAATAGTAATGATAGAGCTATTGCGTAGGAAGGACAGAGAGAGTGGTGAAGGTTTAGACAAGGCAACGAGGAGGGTGCTATCATCACAATGGCAGATGCCCCTGCGAAGCTGGCGGCTCCGTGAACGTGCGCCCCGACATCAATCTGTCATGGCGCCATCAGGCTATGGGGTAGAGAAGCCAGGCTGTGGGACTGTGCATGACTGAGATTTTCAGGGCAGGGGCTTGGAAGGATATTAGAAACAGGAGGTTATGGGGGCTTGTAAAAGCGTGTTTCAAGTAACTCATCATGGAGTCCAGGCTTGGCAGGAAAGAAGGTATGGCCAGAGGAAGTCCTGAGAGTGGGATGGGGTAACTGTGTCAGAGAAAGCATTTATACCAGGGAAGAAAAATTTTCTTGAAGAGAACAAGTGAGACCATCATAAAAACAGGAGATTGAATTGGAGGAGAAAGGAAAGTTGAGTCGAATGTCTTGGAGGCAGGGTAGCTTGAGGTGTTGTTGACCAGTGGCAGAAACCCTGGGAGGTGGAGTGCATGGACCGGAGGGTAGGCCTTGGATAGCCCAGCACTGTGGGCCCTGGGACATCCCAGAACCATGGCAGAGCCTGGCACAATGAGGAGGAGGGGAAGCCCCACAGTTGATCGAGGATGCTGTTATGGTTTGGATATTTGTCCTCCCAAATCTCATGTCGAGTTTTAATTCCCAATGTGGGAGGTGGGGCCTGGTGGGAGATGCTGGGGTCACGGGGGTGGATCCCTCATGAATGGCTTGGGCCATCCCATTGGCGCTAAGTGAGCTTCCACTCTGAGTTCATATGAGATCTAGTTGTTTAAAAGTGTGTGGCACTCCCTGCCCACCCACCCTCTCTCTCTTGGTTCTGCTTTCACCATGTGAAGTGCCTGCTCCCCACTCTGTCTTCTGCTATGAGTAAAAGCTCCTTCAGGCCTCCCAGAAGCCAAGCAGTTGCCAGCTCCATGCTTCTTGTACAGCCTGCAGAACCGTGAGCCAATTAAACCTCTTTTCTTTGTGAATTACCCAGTGTTATGTATTTCTAGCCAGGCAAGAATGGCCTAATACAGATGCCCAGTGATGGAGGATCTGATAGAACAGTTTTGATGGTATCAGATAAAAAGTGAGCTTAGACAGAAAATTAAGAATTGTGGAAATCACTAGCTAAAATTCTCTCATATGTTTTCTATCATATACTATGTGGGTGTACATGTAGATTTTGCTTTGAGATGAATCATGTAAATTTTTTATAGGTCATTGACAATTATGTTACAGAGGTTAACTCTGTGGTTAACCAAGCTACAGAGAAGAGGCACTATAAAAAACAAGGGACTGACTCTTTATTCCCAAGATATAGCCTATTATTATTATTATTAGCAGTAAGCAGTAATAGTAGTGGTGGTGCTAAAACAATAGCCCAAACAGCCAGGTGCGGTGGCTCACGCCGGTAATCCCAGCACTTTGGGAGGCCGAGGCAGGCAGATCACTTGAGGCCAGGAGTTCGAGACCAGCCTGGCCAACATGGCAAAACCCCATTTCTACCAAAAATACAAAAATTAGCCAGGCTGGTGGTGGTGCACACCTGTAATCCCAGCTACTCAGGATGCTGAGGCAGGAGAGGTGCTTGAACCTCGGAGGCAGAGGCTGCCATGAGCCAAGATAGTGCCACTGCACTCTAGCAGCCTGGGTGACAGAGTGAGGCTGTCTCCAAAAAAAAAAAAAACAAAAACCAATACCCCAAAGAAAACTCTTTAACTTCCGGTGTGGTTTCATCAGATGTATCTTGTGTACAAATAAAGAACATGTCCTATTGGGGTAAATTGTCATTCACAAACATTTTAAGTGGTCTCTCAATAAAACACAGGGCTTACTTTGAGCTACAGAATGACAGTGTCACGTGGCAGGGGTTGATGGAACACATCTCTTTCTTTTGTGACACAGTTTTACAAATAGAGGAATGCCACTCTTAAACACCATAGTCAAAAGATCTCCAAATAGCTTGCAAACCAGCTTTCTGAAATGACATTCCAGAAATTATTTAAAAACAAAACAAAACAAAAAGGAAGAAGCTACCCAAGAAATCTAAACAACAGTTAAAGCCCATTTTCTACATGAACATTTGGAGCCTCTTTCACAATTGACAGTGAACCTACAGGCCATGGTTTTCCACTGAGGGTGGAGGACGCTGGCCTCTTAGCATCCATGATAGGCAGACAGTTCCCAGGACAATTCATTAAGTGCTAGGAGAAGCTGGTGGTCACCACTAAAGTGTCTTCTGTAGAACAAATGAAAATGACTTCTTTCTGCAATAAGGAAATAATTGTTGGTAAACATGTTTCTTTTTACAGCTGCTACTCAGAATTTAGCCCAACAGGAATTTTCTATTTTCATCATTCTTTACCAAACTCTTCACTGTGTCATAGGTTTAAATTTATGGATTAAAGGGATACTGTGCAGCCAGGATGTGCAGTACAGTCGGAAATGTGGCATTTGAAAAAAGGAGTTGGGTGAAATTAGATGAAGGGCCCTGTGAACCCAAACAAAAGCAATGCACACTATCTTTTTCTTGTTTGTAATTTGTTTTTGGATTTCAGGTATTCCTAGCACACAAGAAACAACAGACAACTCTCATGTACTTTGCCTATAATTAAACCGAAGTGGAGACAAGCCCTGGGGGGCAGTCCACCATGTAATTTTCTTTAAGACATGAATGTTGAGGATTTGTAGGGAAAGAAAACCCCCACTTTTTTAACCTCCTGAAAAGTTCATGCAAAGCACAACTAAAAGAATCTACTCACTCCACTGGTGATGTTGATGCTTTCTTAGTATTTGAACATGGTGTTTTTACATTCCAAAATATATGTGCAAACCTGAAGACCATCTCAAAGAGAAGGTAAAAATCTCAGACTGTGTAATTCTTTTTGATGGTCGAGAATTGGATCTTCAGGCACTCTTAAAAAGGCAAATACAATTCTTCTATCACAGGTAGCATTCCCATAAGAAAGAGGAAGCATACCTAGGACAGACTGACCAGGTCCAGGGGCAAGCCATAGATGTCACTAGTACGTCACAATTGGAGAGGAAGTAAATTAAAATTGACTACTGTTTTCCTGATCAGACCTTCTAAAATAATAAACAGCTAAGTTCTTTTTTGTTTTGTTTTGTTTTGTTCTGTTTTTTTCTGGGAGGAGAGTTTATAGAAGACAGCCGAGTATTGAAGGGGCAAGTAACAGCCATCAAATAATGCTTCAGCTAGGACATAAATTACGGTTCCTGTGGTCAAGGCTGTCAAAATGATTCCACAAAGAAATCAGGAGTTAATGGTAAAGATATACTAAATAATCTTCTTCCTTTCATGTCCTGATTTTTTTTTTTTTTTTTTTTTTTTTTTTTTTTTTGAGACAGAGTCTTGCTCTGTTACTCAGACTGGAGTGTAGTGACGTGATCTCAGCTCTCTGCAACCTCTGTCTCCCGGGTTCAAGCGATTCTCCTGCCTCAGCCTCCTGAGTAGCTGGGATTGCAGGCACCCACCACCACGCCCAGCTAATTTTTGTACTTTTAGCAGAGATGGGGTTTTGCCATGGTTGCCAGGCTGGTTTTGAACTCCTGACTTCAAGTGATCCTCCTGCCTTGGCCTCCCAAAGTGCTGGGATTACAGGCATGAGCCACTGTGCCTAGCCATATGTCTTGATTTTTAAGGGTATGTGTGTGTGTGCGCACGCGTGAGTGAGAGACAGAGGGAAAGAGGTCAAGAACTGTTGTGCTAGGAAGTAACGAGCGCCTGCATTCTGAATTAAGGAAAACCAGTACACGAAGGCAGTTAGGAAGAAGAAAGTACCCTAAAGGATAAGACAAAACTATGCAAATTTGCCAAGCCACTGTCTGCGGGCCCACTCATTCTAAAACATAACTCTAAAACTCTCATTCCTAAAGAACGGACGGTTTCTGTGTCTCCGCTTTCCATGTTTGTACTATCTGGTTGTAATTTGGACTTCCCATGGGACTGGTCTGGTTCAGGAGACATTCTCGGCGGCAACCTCCAGCTTTCCACGGCTCTCACAGCAGTTTTTACAAACAGCATCAGCTTTCTCTCATGTTAAGCCCTTCTTAGTCTATAGAGTCTTTCAGGCCACTTTTATCTCAGGATTATTTTCCTGAACTTGGGCCCCAAATGGTGTTCCATAGTCTTAACATAGGTTATATGTGGGCATCTTATCGGTCTTCCTCTCCTAGGTACGGTTTCACATCTAAGCCTTTTCCCTCTGCATCTCACACTTAGCTGTCTATTACAAAATCTTGCCAATTAAAGAAAAATCCTAGGCCGGGCATGGTGGCTCATGCCTGTAATCCCAGCACTTTGGGAGGTCGAGGTGGGTGAATTGCCTGAGCTCAGGAGTTTGAGACCAGCCTTGGCAACATGGTGAAACCGCATCTCTACAAATAAATACAAAAATCAGCAAGGTGGGTGGTACATTCCTGTAGTCCCAGCTACTTGGGAGACTGAAATGGGAGGATTGCTTGAGCCTGGGAGACAGGTTGTTGCAGTGAGCAGAGATAGTGCCACTGCACTCCAGCCCATGCAACAGAGTGAGACCTTGTCTTAAAAAAAGAAAAAAAAAGAGGCCGGGTGCAGTGGCTCACTCCTGTAATCCCAGCACTCTGGGAGGCTGAGGAGTGCTGGGATTACAGGAGTGAGCCACTGCACCCGGCCTCTGAGGAGGGCAGATCACCTGAGGTCAAGGGTTCGAGACCAGCCTGGCCAACATGGTGAAAACCCATCTCTACTAAAAATACAAAAACTATCCAGGTGTGGTGGCGGGTGCCAATCCTAGCTACTCAGGAGGTTGAGGCAGGAGAATGACCTGAACCCAGGGGTCAAAGGTTGCAGTGAGCTGAGATTTCACCACTGAACTCTAGACTGACTGACAGAGTAAGACCCCATCTCAAAAAAAAAAAGAAGAAAAAAATAGAAAAAGAAAAATCCTTTACTCATTATGAAACTTTTGGCTCCTCAATAGGTTTTACTTTTTCAACCTCATCTTATCTAAAGATAACAGTCTGTGTGCAGGACTCTCCAAACCCTAGGATAAAGCCCATCAAATAAGAAAATTGATAGTTTGAAATAATTATTGTACTGGCTTTAGATTAGTTGAGAAATACTTCACTCAACTCTAAAATTTTATTCCAAGAAGGATCTGGAAAAAAATTAGCTCTAATGGATTGCTTTGGATGCTGCAGACAGTTGAACATTTCAAAATGTTGTAGATGGTACGATGTGAATAAGGTGCCATGTTAAAATCCTCTATCTCTGACCTAGACCCTGAAGCCTGGAGGGAGACCCTTCCCGGGCATCTGCTTATGCCCCTAAACTTACAGAAAACACAACTGAACCTGATGAAGCAGAAACTATCACCGGAGAAACAGGAACTCAAAGGCAGAGACATTTTCATTGGGAGGCAAAAGAGAAAGTGGGAAGGGACATCCTCAAGGCACTTCCATGCCCCTAGGCTGACCTCAGTTGGGCCCTGGGGACAATTCACAGGGGAAACACCAGTTGTGCAGCTCACCCAGCCCTTCCTGATCTCCTGCAGCCCCCAGGCTGTTGCCCACCCTTGATTCCACCTTCCCTCACGCCCTAAGGGTTGAAAGTGTCAACAAACCAAGCTGAGTGAATCCCATAAACCCTGATATGAGGCAAGTATTTATTTATTTATTTGTTTAGAGGCAGGATGTCATGCTGTTGCCCAAGCTGGAGTACAGTAGTGTGATCATAGCTCACTGCAGCCTCCAACTTCTGGGTTCAAGTAATTCTCCTTTCTCAGTCTCCTGAGCAGCTGGGACTCCAGGGACTACAGGCATGTGTCATCATGCCTGGCTAATTTATTTTTATTTTTTGTAGAAATGGGGTCTTGCTATGTTGTCCAGGCTGCTCTCAAACTCCTGGCCTCAAGTGATCCTCCCACTTCAGCTTCCCAAAGAGTTGGGATCATAGGCACGAGCCATGCTCCTGGTCCAAGACAAATATTCAGAATAAGAACTCACTGACTTCTAGAAGCATTTGTGTGTGTCTGCCCCTGCCCCATCCCAATTTAGTTGCTAATGCTCTGTGTTTGGGCAACAAGTGAGATGGTTGTGGATGAGAACTTTTCACCACTGTTTTTTAAACAGCCACAGGTTACAGGATGATCCCAGTGGTAGCTTATAAAAGCAGTCAGTGTCTCCTCCTGAAACTTTGGGGACATTAGGGTAGCTTGCTGAGATAACCAAACTATAACCAGTTTCTACTGTGATAAAAAATACCTGAACCTTGTTTGGGTCTTATCAGATGCTGAGACTTATGTGAGAAGACTTTCAGAGTTATGTTGTATTTGGAGTGCATATCCAGGTTATAGACCGGTTGTATTTCAGAAGGTTTTAGGCTAGATGTTTGGCATTCAGAATGCATTTCTCTTTAGAAATGATGTTTTAAATGGTGTTTCAGTTCTCAAGCCAGTCCACAAAAACCCAACTTAATCCTCAATAGGGCTTTGATGCCGTCAAAGTATGTATTTGTAAGGAAAATAACAATGTCCAGGACTGCTGCCATATGAGTAATTTAAAAAATAGAAGAAAATCCATTTGTTAAGTACATTACATTCAGCACATTACATTAGGTGGAAATCGATTTAACTGAGAAAAATTAGGAAGTATGTGGGAACTTGCAGGGATTCTCAGGGCATATTTGGGAAGTTGTGAAGGCTTTAGAGTTAGTGGCAATGGATCCCTGGAGTGTGTGACCTCTAAAATGCTTCTTAGGAAGTCTGGCTTATTTTTCACAAGTTTTCCTAGAGATCTGTGGGGATCAGGGAGAGGTAACGAAGAAGAGAGCATTTTTCCAGTGGGAAGTGGGCAACTTAAGAACACATAAGGAAAGGGGACGTTGACTACAAAGTGTATCTGAACACGAGGGAAAGGGATTTTGCTGAAAGAAAATCAATGGAATGATTAAAGAGGAAAACGTAGGAAGGAAATGGCCAATCCCTCAGCTTTAGAAAGCTGGGGAGAGAGCGCCTCTCTTACAGGCCCACGGTGGCCTGGGACATTTTGGGGGCTAGTCCAGTGGGGACTGGAGCATCCTCAGAAAGGGTGAAGAATGTGTAGACATGAACTACTCACAGATGCAGCTGTTTTATGAGGCACTTACTATCTAGATCACTCTTCTTGTAAAGAAACTGTAGAACCAAATAATCAGGAATTGAAGCTTAGTTCACTTCCCCGGTGAGTAAGATTGGATACTGGAATTGAATTCTTGCCTTGACAAATGTTATTTCTGCTGCCTCCCTGTTCCTTTTAGTAAGCCCATCCTCTGTCTGCTTCTTACTAAAAATAAAACTAACTATACAATTTTTTTAAAGAGATGAAGTCTTGCTATGTTGCCCAGGCTGACCTCAAACTCCTGGCCTTACGTGATCCTCCCACCTCAGCCTTCCGAGTAGCTACAAACATCGCTGTGCCTGGCTATGGCACAGTTTTGTTTTTTTAACAGCAATTCATTTTCATGCTAATTTGAATTTAAAATGGTTATTAAAATTAAAAATTTCTCAGATCTATTCTGTTGAAGACAACAACAGGTAAGAGATTATTTGTTTTTCACTAAAGTCCAAGTCATATCAAGAAAAGATGACGTTTGCATTCTCTAGGAAAAATTAAATTGCCATGTAAGTTAATAGCAACTTCACCAAAAAATTATTTAGCATCATAAGAGGAGAATAATTTCCAGTACTCTCAATTATTTATAGTCACTAATGTAAACTCTCTTGATTATCTGTTTTTTAATGTCTATTAATAAAAGCTCCTTTAGACTCTCTGGAGCATTTATTAAGTATAGGTGACAGTACTTTGAGAACCTGAAAGTAATAACATTTCAACTTCTCTATGAATTTAGAATTTCAAAAATTCACAAATTGCTATGATTAGTTATTTAAGGGAGATATTACTTTATATTGTATTTAAATCTTATATTCAATTTCCACAGATTGAAAGTTTTAGGAAAATGAACATAATTGAATTGCATTTTTAAAAGTATTAGCCTCAGACAGAATTTTACTCCAAGCACATACATTAAAGAATAAGTGGGGGCGGGGCGCAGTGGCTCACGCCTGTAATCCCAGCACTTTGGGAGGCCGAGGTGGGCGGATCACCTGAGGTCAGGAGTTCGAGACCAGCCTGGCTAACATGGTGAAACCCCGTTTCTACTAAAAATACAAAAAAATTAGTCAGACGTGGTGGTACACGCCTGTAATCCCAGCTACTTGGGAGGCTGAGGCAGGAGAATTGCTTGAACACAGGAAGTGGAGGTTGCAGTGAGCCGAGATGGCGCCATTGCACTCCAGCTTGGGCAACAATAGCGAAACTCCATCTCAAAAAAAAAAAAAAAAAAAAAAAAGAGAATAAGTGGGGAGTAGGGAACACCAGGTGCTTAGTATATACTATGGCTTGGTTTGCAAGAATCTGTCAACATTTAAGACAAGTCATCTATTAATACTATCGTAGTCACAGTATGCCACAAAAAAACAAATAACTCACAACCAACATGGTGTACATTAAACCAGTTACATAATATATACAAACATATATAAATAGTGTCAGATATAAACTAAACATTACACTCAAAAAGAGTTAGAGGTCTCTGCAGAATCATGTGCTCAAAGAATCTATGACTGAAAGTACATGTTAAATGCAATGCAGGATATGTAAAAGTGTTAATTATTTAAATGTTATACATTTGCATTTGCAGATGTTATTTTATAATAAGCTACTGTCCTTAAAGAATTTAAAATCATCTCAATGAAGAGCAAAGAGGAAATGAGAAAAAAAAATTCCAGGAAGGAAATATTTTAAAGAATCTTGTGTAACACAAGTGGCCTTATGTATAATTTCTACATAAAGGAGGAGGCTGTTGTCTCATAAGTCCTTTACTAATGAACCCCCTTTAGTCTTCCCTTTGAATAGGAGGCATGTTGGGTTGAAAAAGAATGCCTTTCAGAATGAGCAATGACCCAGTGTCACTGGCTGAGGTAGGGGCAGACCTGCTCTGTCTTGGCTGGTGGCGTGGGTATTCCATGAAGCCTGCGCTGCGCCATTTTTAATAGAGACACTGTGTCCTGGTAGCTACTAGGAGAACGTTCGTTCTTACATGAAGTTATCTCCTAAGGACAATATCTGACTACAAGATGTTGTTGTCTTTTGTTTTTCTTTATACAAATGTGGCATTTTCAAGGGCTTATGCTAATTAATTTCTTTCTTTCACAGAAAAACATGAAAGCCAAATTTGGATGTTAATCTGGATGGGATCAGCTCCTTACTCCTTGTTTGTGAAAGTCAGGCCCACAGACTGGCATCAGGCACAGGAGGTGGGTGCTTGCAGAGAGGCAGAATCTCAGGTCCAACCCCAGCCCCTGCATTTTAACAGACAGCCAGGTGATTCAGAGGAAGTTTGAAAAGCACGGCTCTAGGCTTTAAGCTTCAATTAAAGAATAGGGTCCAGAACATTCCTTTCTGGGAGTTCTCATGGCCCTTGGCAAATTGCCACGGTTCACCACTTGCTATGGGCTGCAGCTGGAAGAGCCTCTTTTGGCAAAGATCCTTACGAAATTTGGCAATAGACCAAAAAGACTTTAAAAATAGCATTTTATACTAATTCTCCCAGATGTGATATGTCTATTTATGATTTTGGTTTGGATGTGCTGCTAATTGAGCCAAAAATAAAAGGTGCCTATTAAAATGGGTGAAATAAATGACAAGTCACCATAAGCAACAAAACAAAAAGAAATTTAAATTTGCTAGAAGGGATATTTTAAATTAGGCTTGGTGTTTTAACTATAAAATGAAAAGTTCTGATCAATGATCACTGAAGCAACTTAAAACGATTTCACTCTTCTTTTTTAAACAAGCCCAGTTTGTATTTTTTTCATACCATAAAAATAAAATCAACAAAGCCACTGATTAGACCAGACTCCTACCTTTATATCCTGTGGATTGATATTAGGATTTGGTTGGCACTGCAGAGGTCCCAGAGTTTGAATATGGAAAATATAGAGAAGAAATTCATCCCGGGCAGAGAAAGGCCAGCCCACCTCCAGGATGGTGTCACTGATGGTACTTGGTCCAATATTGTGCAGCTGTAAACAAGTGACATGTTATCTAATGACCCAGCAGAAGGCAGAGAGATAAAATCAAACTCCATATACTCTATACCCATTTTAGAAAGCATGTATTATTGGTTTTAAGTCATCTGGACTATGACTATGGAAAATAAGAAAATTCAAAGTCGATATGGCAAGAAGCACTCTGAAAGCATCATGGGCTGGTGTTTAGAGAAAACTCTTCAATCTGTGAAGCTCTAAGAGTGGATTTCCTCAGTTGAAGACCATACTACCCTTGTCTGATAACTGTGATGCTGGTTTTAAATTTATGTTAATTTAATCATAGCGCTAGAAATTTTAATTTTGATTTTATGCCTTCAAAACTTAGTGACTGTCTCTTTACATTGAAATCTGCCTCCGCTTTCTTGACTACTGACTGTCAATTGCAACCATATGTGATGTACTCTCTTTCACCCTCTGGAAGAATGTCCATCCATCAAGTGCCAAGGCGGGCCCATGATCACCACAGTTCATTTCGAGTGCGTGTTTCAAAGCTGAGCTCCTTCTGTTTCCATCAGCAGATCTCAAGGCAAGAAAGGCCACATCTCATAAAGAGATGAACATTTTTTAACACGTGAATCCTATACTTGGAGGACACAAAATTGTTTGCCCAAAACACTAAGTGCATTTACATTTATTCCAGTGTTTTAAAAATTTAAAGTCAGCAGGGATTTTCTTCTTTTTCTTTTTTTCTCAGTTCTGAAAATTACAGTGATCTATAAAACAATGGATAATTGCTTTTGCTTATTAGATGGCCTATTTAATTCACCTTATCAAAGAAGCTTGGCAACCATTGATATAGTATATTTTGAGTCACGAGATTAGCAATGTACACAATATTTGATGATTGCTTTTTGCACTACCAGTAGCTACCCTAAACTTTCATGATCCACATTTATGCTAAGATTTGAAGCAGGACTGCCCTGAGAATGATTGGGTCTGAATATATTTTCAAACTTTAAAGTTTCACCATTCTTGAGCAGAAACCAGGACACACAGCTTTATTAAATTATTTGACAGCTTTTTTTTTTTCTTTTTTCCAGTGAGGTTCTTAATCAGAGTGGCCTTGGTGACTGTGTTATCCTTTTGCTATCAAAAGAGCTTAAGGCAAAGCTTTGATCCAGCTTTGGACAAGGCTCCTGAATCTGGGCCACAGGTTGGGCGGATGATGGAGGGTTTCATGCTGATGCTGCCCAGGAGTTGAGGCATCTTCCCTACGTTTGTAAACAGTTCATCACTTTTGAAAAGGCTTTATTGTTAATCTTAGAGGATGTTATTCATGTCCCTTGTAGCTCAAGATGAAAGTCATAGTCAGAATTACTAGATTAGAGGCATGAGTTACATAGGAAAGGAACAGAAGGCATTAATCGAGAAGGAACCTCAAACAGAACGCCTTGGAACATGGTTTTACCAAAATTCCCTGCCTGGTCCCTTGAAAACGAATAGGAATAACTACTCTTTACTGCTAGCATTGACTTTATTTAAAAAAAAAAACAAAAGCAAAAACAGAGCAAAACCAAACAAAAACCTGAATAACTACTAAACTAACCCTTTGCTATATGTTGGTTTCTTTTTAGAAAATTATTTATGTTTGTTTATTTTTTTATTTTTAGAGATTGGCCCTTGCTATGTTGGCCAGGCTGGTCTTGAGCTTCTGGCCTGAAGTGCTTCTCCCACCTCAGCTTCCTAAAGTGCTGGGATTACAGGCTTGAGCCACTGTGCCCAGCCATATATGTTGGCTTCTAACTGAAAAAAGCTTAAATGTTTCAGGTGATGGGTCAACAGATCCTCTCCCTGTTCACAACTTAATGCCTGAAATGGGAAAAGAACATCAGCTCCTTTTTATGCATCACTGGTTCACTTCTGGAAAATATTTTACTAATCAGTGAACTATTTAAAAATCTCAGAATAAGATATTCATTTCCAATTTGGGTTCTTTGGATGAAAAGTAAAATTATTTTTATCTATGTACCATCTACCCATCTCATATATTATATGTGCTTTTATTTCATTTTAGAGACAGAGTCTCACTCTGTCGCCAGGCTGGAGTGCGGTGGCACGATCTCGGCTCACTGCAACCTCTGCCTCCCAGGTTCAAGCGATTCTCCTCCCTCAGCCTTTCGAGTAGCTGGGACTACAGGCTCACGCCACCAAGCCCAGCTAATTTTTGTATTTTTAGTAGGGATGGGGTTTGACCATGTTGGCCAGGATGGTCTTGATCTCTTGACCTCATGATCCGCCTGCCTTGGCCTCCCGAAGTGCTGGGATTACAGGCGTGAGCCACCACACCCGGGCGCTTTTATATATATGTATATATATATTTTTTTTTTAGCACAATAATGAATAGTTCTTATTGTTTTCTGTCTGGTACCTTCTAGTTGGTGACATTCAGTTTAAAAGATGAGTGGGTAACCTTCAGTTTAAAAGATATAAACATATCTGAAATATAGGAAAAAATGAAGTAATGTCTAGGAAGCTAGCCATTTTTATGTCTAGGTTGTCCAAATATTTAAAAAAATGGAAATAATTAAAAACAACAATGACAACAACAATAGTAACAAGATAAAGTGTTTTCACTATGTAATGGCTTTCCTACTAAGGAACAAGTGATTATATCCAGTATTACTCAACCGAACACCCACTACACCCCACTGCAGTATGAGAGCATAACAGCATGAACCTAGGCAGTATATACAGCTCGGAACTTGGGTTGATGTCCTTTAAAATGCTATCTACTGTAGTTATAGCACTGTGAGTGGCTCAGGTGGGTGGATCACTTGAGCTCAGGAGCTTGAGACTAGCCTGGGCAACATGGCAAAACCCCGTCTCTAGAAAAAAATACAAAAATTAGCCAGGTGTGGTGGTGTGTACCTGTAGTCCCAGCTACTCAGGAAGCTGAGATGGGAGGATTGTTTGAGCCCAGAAAGTCGAGGCTGCAGTGAGCTGTGATTGCACCACTGCACTCCAGCCTGGGAGACACAGCGAGATCCTGTCTCAATAATAATAATGATAATGATAATAATGCTACATAGAATTTATTTGCACAGAGCTTAAGAATAAACCCCTAACACAACTTTAACACAGACAATGGCTACCTCATAAATATGTTCCACCAATGGTCCAACCTCCTCCTCTTTGTGGGGCTCCTCTTCTGGTTCCCAGTTATGAATGGGCAGAACAATCTGCGGAGGGTGTGACACTCTGAAACATGAAATGTCCTGTTAATTGTTAGCAATGGCCCAGGTAAAGAATGTTTTACTAGTGGACAGTATACTAACAGAAGCAGAAGAAAGTGGTTTTCAATTTATTTGAGTAGATACTCCCTACAGGGAAAAATATTGAAAGTGATGTACAGTAGAATGACTACAGTGACAGTGAAGGATCTGAAACTGCTAGTGTAGGCTCTCCAGCCCAGAGGGCAACTATTTTATAGCATCTCATCTCGTGGGCACTAAAGAAGAGAGTGGAGAGTGTTCCTGAGTTGAGATGAATAACCAAACTTATACATATATAAATATATACATCCATCTATTTCACATGTGAGAACGTGTGTGTGTGTGTGTGTGTGTGAGTGTGTGTGTGTGTGTGTATGGGTTATTTAATCCCTGCTTTAAGTCATATCAAGAAATGGGATTCTTTTTTGCAGATAAAAAAAAGTCTAGGATGCCGTGTGTTGTGTTAAATGTCCAGTTATGAAGAAATATAGTTTCTTGTTGAAGGCATCAGAGTGGAAGAGTGGTCATTGTATATTCCTCCTTTCTATATTTCTTTGGCTTCCTGGGAAAGCCAGCCCCAGAGCCAGAACAAAATAAAGTGTGATAGAGTTATAGAGTGGTCTTATAGATATCTCAAGTGTGAGAGAGAGACAGAGAGTTAAATGGTGTAATCCAGGAGTAGGATATTAACTTGACATATGATTATTTTTTCCTGCAACGTACACCTAGAAAATGAGCATTGGATAAATGACATATAACACATGGCATTATTTTATATAAAAAGCTGATTACAAACTAAATTATTATTTTTATAAAATCTTAAGAAGGGTAGTCCTCAAAACAAACCAATGTTTTCTAGCAGTTTTTAGGTAAAACATGTCTTTAAAAGAATTCGTAGACTTTCAACTGAAAGTAACCTCAACAGAAAACATCTCTTTTGGCAATCAGATGTCATAGGGCCCTTTTAAAGGTATCCAATAATTAACATGGCCTCTGGCAACTTCAAATGTTAGCAAAATTTATTGGGTTATATTCTTACTCTAGGGCAAGTAATTTAATTTCTGTATATCTCTCTTTCTTCATCTGGAAAATTATGATAAACTCTTTGGTTTGTGTACCACAAATGTTCGGAAAACATCTCAAATGCTTTTGGTCAAAGTTAATTTGGCTGCATTGTTTTCTAGGAATGAGTACATTTTAAAAACAGACAACCCACAGAAATGTTGCTAAATTGCATAGCTCTTTGCATATGTCCTTACTGTGCAATGTTAAGAAGAACAGGGCACAACTTTGCTGGGCTGATACCACAGACATTTCTGCGTTTATATTGGTTTGTCATTATGCTATGTTCCCTTTTCTGACTTGGTTTGATTAAATCATGACAGGCTTCTGTCATCAGAGAGAAGCCCAGAGAACCTGGGTTTCTATACCAGTCTTGACAGTCTCCAAACCCAAAGCTGGCGTTTGCTTTCAGCTTGGCAACAGAGAGTTGAGTTCGTGTTCACTATCCATTGTCCATTGTGAGGTTCTAGGGAAACTTTTATTTATTTATTTATTTGCATAGAGAACAAACATAGCACAGAAGCTGAACACATTTTCTCTGAAAACTTTTGTTTTTATGGTCATCAGTCCACAGGACTGGCCATAAATTCCCTAGGATCATAGAATCATATGTATTTGAATCTTGACAAGTACTATGGAGATGATATCGTCAAAACCCTTCATTTTATACATGAAAGGAAGACTGTTGTACACAGGAGTAGAGGGTTAGTTGCAGGTGAGATCTAGAGCTCAGATCCTAAGTACCATCTACTCTATTTCTAATATAAAATGCACCATGGGGGCTCCTAAGCTGCAGTGGTATTTAGTGAAGACGACTTAAACTTCCTGGCACAGTTCTGTAACAAAAAATCAAATAGAAGTCTATGAAGAAATATATAATCTATCAAAACATCATGTCAAAATCATTTAAAAAGCATGGCTCACAAAATTCAGTTATTTACCCACCGAAGACTACTTCAAATCCAGGGAAACCATGGTAAACAATGGTTCTCTAAAGATCTCAACTAAATCAGTGAAACAGTGTTCATGGTTTTCAAAGTAAATTTTTTAGAAAGAAGGAAGAAATCAAGCAAGCAACACAGAATATATTGAACTAATTTGCCTAGGATAAACAGCCAGTGTGGTCATCTTACGACCCTCACTGCATAGCCTTCCGTCCTAAGATGGAAGATAGAACGTTATCCCAGTAAGACCCTCAGATAAGAAGAAGACTGGGGTACTGTTAATGGTAACAATAAACATGAGAAATGAATTTTGGGAGAAGCAAGGAATTAGTTTTTTTAAAATTAAACCTTATTTTGAGATAATTGTAGATTCATATGTAGTTGTAAGAAATAACTTGGAGAGATTCCATGTACCATTTAGCGGTTTCCCCAATGGTAACAGCTTGCAAAACCAAAATGTGATATTGTATATAATATCAAAACCAGAATATTGTCATTGACATAGTCAAGAACACTTCTATCACCACGAAGATCCCCTTTTACAGGAACGTCCACTTCCCTCTGTCCCTATCTCCTCCATATCTCTTGGCAACCACTAATCTGTTCCTCATTTATATAATTCTGTTATTTCAAGAATGTTATATAATTGGAATCATACAGGATGCAATCTTTTGGGATTGGCTTTTTTGACTCTGCATACTTCCCTGAAGGTCCATCTGTCAATTGTTCATTCCTGTTTATTGTTGAGTGATATTCTATGGGATGGATGTACCATGATTTGTTTAACTATCAACCCATCAAAGGACATTTGGGTTGTTTGCAATTTTTGGCCATTATTAACAAAGCTGCTATTAAGATTAATGTAGGGATTCTTGTGTGAACTTTGGTTTTCATTTCTCTGGAATAAAGGAATTAGGTTTTCAGTAAGTTGAAGTATATACGCAATCAGGAAATTCAAATCTGAGGATTTGGTAGTGTGCTGTGAATCCTGTTTCAAATCCTTGTTTTCAAACCCTATCATTCCCAAATAGCAAAGACTACCATGTATTGTATGGAACAGTCTTAACTGTACCTGCTGTGGATGGTATCCTATGCAAACCTCAGCTGTTCATGTTTGTGGTCTCTCTTAGTACATACCCATTCAATCCTGATTATTTTACAAAATCTGCAATCTTACCACTCTTCATGGACTCAGTGTATGTGGTGCTGTCTCTTGTGGCCAAGTTTACTTCTCACAGACATGTGCTAAACTGATCCTTTGTACCACAAAATGCATACAAATCTGCTTAAAGATGATGTTATCTAGCTTTGAAAGAAATGGAACAATTCTCAGTATTTTTTCCCACCCAAATAAATGAATCCATTTTTGTTTATTTTTTAATTATAAAAAACAGTAGATAAAAAACTGCTTAAAATAATGCATGATAAATTACATCAGAATAAACACCATGGACCAAAAATAAAGTTCCGGGAGACGGAACATGGAAGATTTTCAAACAGTAGCTGTTTGTTCTTTGATGTATTAAACATTGAAACCAATGTTTTGCTGCATATTTGCAGGAAAGAGTTTTACTATGTAAATGGCTAAAAAGGATTTTAGCACAGTCTTAGAGAATAATCTGTGGTCAATTGTTGGACATTAATCTAGCTATTAAAGTAGCTGCTTTCGTATGAGAAACCCAATTTTAATGATCTGTTTTGATTATTGGCAAAAGTGAATAGAAATTTCCTTCTTTTTTTACTGTAAGTAATGACAGTAATATTGAAAATATTAATCTCATAAAATGGATATTGAGAATAAAGACAGTTATATTCAGCCATTAGCTGTCTTGGATTTAGTTATGTCCTAACAAATAGAAACATTTCCCAGTTTTAAATTTATTTTGGAATTAAGAACCAGTTTCAATTTATTTTTGGCTAGAAAAACTAAGATACACTAAGCTTAAAGAAGGAGACAAAAGTTCATATACATTAATTGTAAATTTTGAAAAGATATAAAAATAAGATAGTAGAAAATAATGCTTGTGTTTTTTTCTCTGATTTTTAAAAATAGCAATTTTCTCATCGAGAGAGATAGGAGAATGAAATTAGAAGTCAACAAAAATAAAACATCGAGATTAGCTCCAAATATCTGTAAATCAAACAAGTCACTTCCCATGAGTCAACTCATGACTAAGGAAGAAATCACAAAGAAAACTAGAAAATATTTTGAGCTGAGTTATAACAAAAAAACCCAACTTATAAACATTTCGGTATGCTGCTAAATTTATAGCACTAAATGCTTATATACAAAAAAAGATCTCCAGTCAAGCATAACATTTCTGCACAGAAGAAGTAGAAATGGGAGAGAAAGTCAAATCCAAAGAGAGCACGAGAAAGGATAACAAGAAAAGCTGAAACCAATAAAATAGAAAAGAAAGAAAAAATAAAGAAAACAAAGAAAAATTAATAAAACAAAAAGCAGATTCTTTGAAAAGATCACTAAACTCTAGCCAGACTGATCAGAAAATGTAAAAAAAAAAAAAAAAAAAAAGAGAAAAGGAGAAGATATAAACTGCCAATATCAAGAATGATGGAGAAGGCATCACTAGAAATCCTACAACTATTAAAAGGACAATGAGAGAATATTGTGAACAACTTTATGCCAATACATGTAACAACTTAGATGAAATAGACAAATTCCTTTAATGAGAAACTACCAAAGCCCATTTAAATAGAAATAGATATTATAAATAGCCTTACATCTAAGAATGAAGTTGACTTGTTCAAAACCTTCGTACAAAAAAATCCCCACAAAACCCTCCAGATCATTTTACGGAGCTAGCATTCACCTGATACCCAAATCAGAAAAAGATATTGCGAGAAAGGAAAACTACAGATCAGTACTTCTTACGAACGTAGATGTAAAAGTCACTAACAAAATTTTAGCAAGTCGAATCCCAGAGTATCTAAAAAGGATAATCATCAACACTAAATGTGTTTATTCTCCAGAATGCAAGATTGGTTTAAAATTCAAAACCAAAAATTAATCAATTCACCACTTTAATGAATAAAAAAGAAAAACAATTTAATCATCTTCATATGTACAGAATAAGCATTTGAAAAAAACTAAACATACATTCATGTTAAAAATTCTTAAGTAGAAATAAGATAGAACATCCTCAACTTGATAAAGGGTGTCCACAAAATCCCTGCAGCTGGCATCAAACTTGATAGTAAAAGGCTGAATGGTTTTCTTGTAAAATTGAACAAGGCAAGGATGTCTCTTTTTACCGCTTCTATTGATCATGCACTGGTGGTTCTAGTCTATGCAATAAGGGAAGAAAAAAAATGAAAGGCATAAGTATGTAACAAATAATTTAACCTTGTCCAAGAAGAGGTCTGGCCTTTGCCCTCAGCTTCTGGGGGGTAATGAGTAAGCTCTTGGAATTTTATGCCTGATAGGAATATCTTTGTTTGCCTGGGGCCTTGAATCACAATGGATATCCTAACACTATGATTTAGAGTAGGGGTTGTTAATACCAGAAAGACCAACAATGTGATATAGAGTGGAAGCTTTGGTCACATCATATCAATCAACTTGGAGACTGAGATCAATTACATGGGCAGATGATCAATCATGCCTATGTCATAGAACCCCAGTAAAAACTCTGACCACTGAGGCTTGGGTGAGCTTCCCTGGTAGGTGATACTCCAAGCCTATTATCACATGTCAATAGCAGAAAAGTAACATCCCTTAACTCCACAGGGGAGAAGGATGGAAACCCTGTGTTTGGTCCTTTTCCAGATTCCACAGTGTGTATTTCTTCCCTTGGCTGATTTTAATGTCTCTTCTCCCTGTAATAATCTCTGTAAGTGTAATAGCTTTCAATGAGTTCTGTGTACTTCTACTGAAGTTTTGACCCTGAGGGTGGTTTTGGGAATCACCTGAATCTGCAGTTGGCATGAAAAAGGCAGGTAATCTCGTGTGGGGACTGTCCCCTCTAACTTTATAATTGGATAAACTTTTACATATGCAGATGGGAAAATAACAAAAAAGTCTTTATTTGCAGACAACATAGTTTTATAGAAGATACTAGGAAATGTGCAAACAAAAAACTACTGGAATTTACAAATGAATTTGTCAAAATCTCAGGATACACTCCTACATTTCAAGCCTTATTATTATATAGATTAGAAAGATGTGCATACATACATACATACATCAATAGAAGAGAATAGCAAATCCAGAAATAGACTCTCACATATAATAATGGATTTTCAACAAAGGTGCCAAAGTAATTCAGTGGGGGGAAAAATGGTTTTTTCAACAAATGGCACTAGGTATTCATGTGTAAAAGTGGGCCAGGTACGGTGGCTCATGCCTGTAATCCTAGCACTTTGGGAGGGTGAGGCAGGAAGATTGCTTGAGGCCAGGAGTTCAAGACCAGCTTGGGCAACACAGTGGGACCTCATCTCCACAAAACGTTTAAACATTAACTCAGCATGGTGGCGCATGCCAGTAGTCCCAGCTACTTGGGAGGCTGTGGTGGGAGGATCACTTGAGCTCAGGAGTTGGAGGCTGCAGTGAGCTTTGATTGTGCCACTGCACTCCAGCCTGGGAGATAGAGTGAGACCCTGTCTCAAAAAAAAGAAGAAAAGAAGAAAAAGAACCTTGGCCCTCACCTCACACCAGATACAATTAGCTTATAATTATAGATCCAAGTGTAAAAGCTGAAATTATACAACTCCTAGAAGAAAATACAGGTGAAAATCTTTGTGACTTTGGAACAGTATTATTTCAAATTAGGACACAAAGAACACAAAACATTAAAAAATCAACTGGATTTCATCAAACTTTTGCTTCTTGAACATCACTATTAAGGAAATATAAAACCAAACTATAGACTGGGAGAAAATAATCGCGGGACACATATTTGGTAAATGGCTTTGTATACAGAATTTATAAAGAACTTCTACAACTCGATAATAAGGAGACAGAAAACCCAGTAATAAATGGGTAGAAGATTTGAAGGGATACTTCACCAAAAATGAGATATTGATGGCAAATAAGCACTGAAAAGATGCCCAATGTAACTGGTCATTAAGCAAATGAAAACTAAAAACTCAGTGGAACACTATAGGCTTACTAGAATGACTAAATACAAACCAACATAAAGCACATGCTGGCAAAAATGGTGCATGACTGCAACTCTCATGCATGGTTGGTGGGAATGAAGAATGGAAACAGTATAGCCTTTCTGGAAAACAGTTGCACAGTTTCTTATAAACATACACATATCATACAACTCGGTAATTCCATTTGTGAAAACAAATGTTCCAACAAAGACCTGCACATGAATACTTATAGCAGCTTTATTCTTCATAGCTCAAACTGGAGACAATTCAAATGTTCACCAATGAGTGAATGGATGAACAATTCACTGGACATCCATCCATACAATGGAATACTTCTCAGCAGTAAAAAGAAACCATCATAGCAAAGACTTGGAACCAACTGAAATGCCCATCCAGATAGACTGGATAAAGAAAATGTGGCACATATACAATGTGGAATACTATGCAGCCATAAAAAAGGATGAGTTCATGTCTTTTGCAGGGACATGGATGAAACTGGAAACCATCATTCTCAGCAAACTAACACAGGAACAGAAAACCAAACACCACATGTTCTCACTCATAAGTGGGAGTTGAACAATGAGAGCACGTGGACAACAGGGAGGGGAACATCACACAGCGGGGCCTACTGGGGGATGGGGGGCTAGGGAAGGGATAGCATTAGGAGAAATACCTAATGTAGATGATGGGTTGATGAGTGCAGCAAACCATCATGGCACTTGTATACCTATGTAACAAACCTGCACGTTCTGCACAGGTACCCCAGAACTTAAAGTATAATAATAAAAAAGTATATATATAAAAAGAAACTGTCTACTGATACATTCAAGAACACAGATGTTTCTCAAGTGCGTTAGGTTAGGTGGAAGAAGCCAGCACCATTCCCAATGACTTGCATAACATTATAGATCATTCCGGAAAAAGGCAAAACTATAGTGACAGAAAATAGGCCAAGCTTGCCAGGGTCTCGGGGTGGGGAAGGGTTGGCTATAAAGTAGTCCAAAATAACTATGTGGAGTGATGGTACTGTTCTATATTGTATGTTCTTTTGATGTCATAACTTCTTCAACTGGACACCTAAAAAGGATGAATTTTACTTTATGTAATTTACATTCCAATAAATCTGACTTTTCAAAAACCCCACAAACTCCATAAACTGTTGAAAGATATTGGTAATCTTTGTAACTGATAAAGGATTAGTGACTAAACTCTAGAATAGAAAAGAATTTCTATACACTAATGAAAAAAAGTCAACTCTTTTAGTAGCACTATGTGTAAAAAAGGCTGGGTGTGATGGCTCATGCCTGTAATCCCAGCACTTTGGGAGACCAAGGCAGGTGGATCACCTGAGGTACAGAGTTCGAGACCAGCCTGGCCAACATGGTGAAACCCCTTCTCTATTAAAAATACAAAAATTAGCTGGGCATGGTAGCAGGTGCCTGTAATCTCAGCCACTTGGGAGGCTGAGGTAGGAGAATCACTCGAACCCTGGAGGGAGAGGTTGCAGTGAGCTGAGATCATGCCACTGCACTCCAGCCTGGGTGATGCAGCGAGACTGTCAAGAAAAAGAAAAGAAAAGAAAAGAAAAGAAATATGTGCAAAAAATTGAACAAGAATTTCTCTGCACAGGAAGAATAAAGAGTCAACAAAGATTAAAAAGCTGCTGAATCTCATTTAGGAATCAGGGGACCGCAAGTTAAACCTTCAGTAAGGTACCATTTCTTGTCCACCAGACTGGCTCAAAAACCAGATCATGTTGAGAGTTAGCTGATAGTGTGGGATAACAGAAACTTCACCCACTTCTCACAGGAGTGTAATTTGGCATAAGTATTTTGAAAAAGAGTTTGATATTATGTAGTAAAGTTAAATAGAGCATACTCTCTGATCCTGAATTTCCACTTCTAAGTATATCCTCTGCTGACATTCTTCCCCCTGTGTACTGGAAGATATGTACAAAAAACAATTGCAAAAAGGAAAATAATAAAAGCCCTGCATTTTCATCCAGAGTAGAATAGATAAATAAATTATGGTATATTTTGGCCGAGCATGGTGGCTAAGGCCTGTAATAATCCTAGCACTTTGGGAGGCTGAGGTAGGCAGATTCACCTGAGGTCAGGAGTTTGAGACCAGCCTGGCCAACATGGTGAAACCCTGTCTCTACTAAAAATACAAAAATTAGCCGGGCGTGGTGCATGCCTGTAATCCCAGCTACTGAGGAGGCTGAGGCCCGAGAATCACTTGAACCCAGGAGGTGGAGGTTGCAGTGAGCCGAGATCAGCCTGGGTGACAGAGTGAGACCCAGTCTCAAAGTAAAATAAGATAAACGATGGTATAGTTTTACAGTGTAACACTCAGGCAGTTGACATGAGTGAATTACAGGCACGTGCACTAAAATGAATCTCAAAAACATTGGTTTGAATGGAAAAAAATTAGAAACATACATAAAATACGATTTTATGTAGATAAGTTTCAAAAAACTATATCCCAGGCAGGATAGCATGATCATTTCTGAGCATGAGCTCTGGAGACAGTTGCCTATATTTACATTCTGGCATTTTCTAGTTTAACCTTCAACTCCTTGTGCCGCAATTCCCTCACCTGTACAAGGAGGATACTAGTTCATTTATAAGATGGGCTAACTTGGAGTAGCACCCAGAAGGGAACAGTGTATGTTAGACATTGCTATTATTCTCTAATCCGCTAGGGGGCGCCCCAGCGGCACCAGGACAGCAGGGCAGGACCCATGGCAGCACTGGCTCTGCCTGCTGAAATACCAGCTGTCATCATCGAAGCTTGTAAACCACCGTGGAAAAGGAAGGAAACCAGCATTCTGGAACCCCAGTGACAACTTGGTCCAAAATACCAGTTGACATTTTTAGCCAAATCCATGATTGTTCTGAAAAACCAGAATCATCAGAAAAAAATCAATGAAGTCCAATTTCATGCAAGATAAGAACTACACACAACCCATTTCTGATTTCTTTTTCCCCCAGGCATGGATTTTGCAGCTGGTAGTCATTTCCTTGACCCTTTTCCCCCGTCTCTCAGTTGATTGCTTATTGGCACCTTCCTTAAAGAATAGGACCAAAGAAAAAAGATGTAAAATATAGATCCAATCGACCCTTGCATCTGAGAGTTAGTCATTTATTAAACTCCAGATGTGGTGTGGTAAGGCTAAAAAGTCATTACGCTAAAATAATTATTGGAGAATTGAGATTTTTTTTCAGGGAATCACATGGTTGTCTATTTTATCTGGCTTCTTATCAGCTGGTTTTTATAGTTTGATTACTGCACTGTCAATTTGGGGAATAAAGTGATTTTTTTTTTTTTTTTTTTTTTTTTTGAGATGGAGTTTCACTCTTGTCACCCAGGCTGGAGTGCAATGGCACGATCTTGGCTCACTGCAACCTCTGCCTCCCGGGTTCAAGTGATTCTCCTGCCTCAGCCTCCTGAGTAGCTGGGATTACAGGTACCCACAACCACGCCTGGCTAATTTTTGTATTTTTAGGAGAGACAGGGTTTCACGATGTTGGCTAGGCTGGTCTCAAACTCCTGACCTCAGGTGATCTGCTCACTTTGGCCTCCCAAAGTGCTGGGAGTATAGGCATGAGCCACCGCGCCTGGCATAAAGTGATTTCTTGTTTTGATATTCTTGGAGTTAATTGTTATTTAGGGTTTACTCTGCTTTCCAATGGAAGGCTAATAACGATCAGTAGAAAAGAGTGAAAATTAATATCCAAAATGAACTGTGATCTCTAATGCATCAGGAAAATTCCACATCATTTTCACTAGTATTTTATCTTAACTCTACATACAGAAGGATATTGTACTATGCATTGCTTACTACTTACCCTCTTATTTCCACCTGCGCTACAGCAGTGATGTTGATTTGCAGGCTCACAAAATTGCTGTCTGGATTGTCCTTGTTGGAACTAAAACACAAGGACATGTGATTTAAATCTATCTGCTCAGGAGTATTATTACAATATATGATCATAAAAAACATTCTACATATCACAGGAGAACACACGTTACTAACCTGATCATTCAGGATACAAGTGTATTCATTCTCCAAAATCGTAACCATTTGTACAGAGAAATGCTAAGATCTTTTATGATCAATAGTAATGTAACAACTGTCTATGAAGAGACACTTTATCTGGAAATACAATAGATATCTAAAGAAACTAACACTTTTTTTTTTTTTTTGAGACGGAGTCTCCCTCTGTTGCGAGGCTGGAGTACAGTAGCCCAATATCAGCTCACTGCAACCTCTGCCTCCCCAATTCAAGTGATTCTCCTGCCTCAGCCTCCCAAGTAGCTGAGACTACAGGCGTGTGCCACCACACCCAGCTAATTTTTGTGTTTTTAGTAAAGACGGGGTTTCACCATGTTGGCCAGGATGGTCTCTATCTCTTGACCTCATGATCTGCCCACCTCAGCCTCCCAAAGTGCTGGGATTACAGGCGTGAGCCACCCCGCCCAGCCAAAACTAACACTTTTTTAAATGGCTAAACCAAAAATGTATTGAACTGAGCTCATTTTGCAGCTTCTACCTTTGACAAATTCCTTAACATCTCTGCGCATATCATGTTCATTGCCCATTAAATAGGAAGTAACAACACAGCCAACTCCTGATTTTCCTTGCTAATAAAGAGAAGAACTGGCATGAATAATGCAGAGAAATACATAATCGAAACAGCATTTGTGTTTGGCTCTGGGATGCATCATACCATGCACTGGCTTGGCAGCAATTTCATCTTCCTAACGGTTTATTTCTTCAGTTAGTATTAAAATAAGCATATATTCACTGCATACTCACCAGCTAACTAGGACAAGGAGTTGGAGGGTATTTTAAAAGACCAGTTTAAATAACACACTTTTCATTACCCACAATACCCTGAATATAGACCCAAGGAAGTTGGCCAGTTCATAAACAGGCAATTAGGAGATGACATGGATATTTACAAAATGCATTAAGAGTGTCTAGATAGAAGGTGTGTGTTTAACAACATTTCTTTGAACAGTGGCAAAATTATTTTTTAAGTTTGCTGGGGTTTTTTCTCTCCAGCAAATATAATTAGATATGAAACAACTTTTAAAAATGCATGGGTTTCAAAATGTGTGTGCTATAAGGAAAATAAAACGTACTTCACAAAGAGGCTCAACCAGTAACTGAGTTTTGGAGGTAGCTTCCATCTGAATTTTATAATCCTATTATGCTTTTACTGAAGTCACTAAAAACTTAGGCAGCTTTTAGCAAACCGAGACACAGCCACATCACCACTAACAGGTCATGTTTATATTCAGGTGTCATTAGGAAGAGAAGGCCTCCTCTTTTTTCATCATCAAACCTCACTCTGATTCGATGGACAAGCTCTAGCACCAAGATGATGGTAATGCGGTAGGTTGTGACTAGCTTTTGAAGCTTTCCAAATGCGAGAGCTGGAAAGGATATGATAAAATTCTGCTTTCAAAGCAGGAGGCGGCAGAATTGTTCCCATGATGCTTTTGAAAAGTCCTGGCCGATTGTATATAATGATAAGACAACTTAAACTGCAACCACACATAAAAGATATAAACAGGCAAATGTCAGGCTCATTTCCTGGAATGGAGCATCGCCACTAAACCCATGACCGAGCTTAAGGGACTTGTTCACCAGAGGCTGAACCCCAGTTTCCAGGCCATTTTATTAAGATCACATCTGGGATCAGTCAACTAAACAAATGTGTGTGTGTGTTTTTAAGGCAGTGTTCTGAATTCTAACCATTAAGAAGTAATTAAGTAATTTTACTTATTGTAGACTTTATGGTTCCAAATATATTATGGGTAATTCTTCAGTTTGGAAATTTAAATATATTTGTGCCACAGATTAACCAGACTTTTTTCTATTTCTAGTTCACTACTGCTTGGCAGCCGTGGAAATTAGAATTACGAAAAAACAAAGTTTCATTTAAGTTATTGCATAATTCTATTGTATTTTCTTCCCAAGTGGTTTCAATAACACAGTTTTCATTACCCACAATACTCTGAGTATGTAAATAGACATTGAACATTGAAATCATCCTTGAAAACAATCTAACATGAGGCTTTTAGAGGCTGTTTTGAAATGCAGCAGGAACAGCAGCAAACTCTGAGTCCAGACCTTCTGGTCGGCTAATCAAAATCATCTTTTGTCACACAGACTTGCCATGACACTTGCTACTGCATACTAGCGGTGTCAGCAATATCTCTTGTAAGAAAGGAACCAGGCTTGAGAAATAACTTGGATGCTTCCTTGACCTCTTTCCTGAAAGGAAAGCTCCCTCACTAATACCGCTGCTACATCCAAACAAGCCATCCATCACCGCCATGGAAGCTGAACTATTTAAACTGTTGGTGCTGGTTCTACACAAGGAATGATGAATTTCCTCTCTACAACTGCACCCTATGTTATATACTATGGATAGACATGTTTTTCACTTTATTACTCCAATGCTATTTTCTTTTTCCTTACTATTTCCTATTTCCTGCATTCTAACATTCCCTCTATGCTTTCTGTGGTCTTTGGAATGTCAGCAAAGATAACACAGTATTCATCTCACCATTACTAAGGAAGAAACTCTGAGGACAGTCACCAAGACCTGTTTGTATGTGGCAATTGCAATCTGAGACCCGTTGTACACAGGGAGGAAAATGTTTATGTCGTGTAGAGTGAGGGCATGGAGAGACCGCTTAATGCAAATATTTGGTAACAGGAAATATTTTAAGTTTATTAACATATAAAGCCCATTTCTCTCTTGACTTCTATTTGTGGAAAAGGGATTCATTAAATGCAGGTCATGGCAGTCAATATATGCCTGTAAGAGTTTAGACTTCAGAACATTTGGTTTAATTTATTTTTGGCTTAAACACATTTAAACCAAATGCAAAACCATCCATTTAGATCCTTATTTACAGCTTTGGAGTCAGCCAGCAAAGCATGCAGATAAATGCTCACCTCTCAAATACCCTAGTAATTGAGTTTTTACAGTGTTTTACTCAAACGCTGTATTTTTTTTTTTTTTTTGAGATGGGGTCTCACTCTATCACCCTGACTGGAGTGCAGTGGCGCAATCTTGACTCGCTGCAACCTCTGCCTGCCAGGTTCAAGTGATTCCCCTGCCTCAGCCTCCAGAGAAGCTGGGACTACAGGCGTGCACCACCACACCCAGCTAATTTTTGTACTTTTAGTAGAGAAAAGGTTTCACCATGTTGGCTAGGCTGGTCTCGAACTCCTGACCTCAAGTGATCCACCCACCTCGGACTCCCAAAATGCTGGGATTACAGGCGTGAGCCACTGTGCCCAGCCTCAAACACTGTATTCTTGCTTTTATATGTATAATACATGTTTTGGGAATTTAATGCTGTATGTATATTCCAGTTCTTTCTGCATTTCTGCATCTTTATATTTTTTAAGGGTAATGTTAAAATAGTCCTGAGTAGAAATGGAATGTAATCAGTCATGACCCTTTGTTTTAGATGAAGGGGAATGTTAAAAACGTGGCCACTTCTACTTTACAGCAAATTCGGCACTTCATTACTGAATTCATTATTTCAATGATGATCTACAGGATGGACTCGGGGAAGCCATCTAGAACACTACCTTGTGTCTTTTGCTTCTTAGATGAACTAGTAATTGCATCCATTCTCTTTTGTAACTTCAACCAAGAGCGAGGAGGAAATATCAATGAATTTGCTTTGTACCAGACTTCTTTTCTATATAAAGGTTGTGTATTTTATGAGAGATGTATCTTTCCACAGGTGACACAAAGCTTCATGTCACTGGAGGATCAATGGCACAGACAATGATGCAGAGGAATAGAAACTTCAGGTTACTGTCTGGAGGGATGGTGGTCCTTTGCCATGACGTGTTTTGTTTGTTTTTGTTTTTTTTCTTAAGATACTTAGAAATATCAACAGAAGATTTCCAAAATAAAAATATTTAGGGCTACCTAAACCTTTGATATATTTTTACAGATACAAAGAAATGATTTAACATGCTTTTGGTAAAATGAAGGAATATTACAGAAGAATTTATTCCATCTGTATCCCATCACTAAATTTTATCCAGATTTTAAGAACCTAAAATTCAGCAGAAAATGTCTAAGTTAAATTCAAGAAAGATTTCATTAAGGTCAGAAATGAACAGCTCAAGTAAGTTGAGAAAACCTTCCTCTCTAGAAATCTATACAAAGTTTGGGGTGGGAGAATAATTTGTGACATGGGTTGTGGATTTTTAAAATCTGCTACATTCTTACAGAGTTTATATATTTTTAAAAAATCCTAAGCCTTTTATTGAAGTAGCTATTTAAAAATTAATCCATTGCATGGAGTCATTATTCTAAAAGTTATCACACTCTAATGGTACTTCTTGCAAGATATTAAGATAAACTTAGAAATTAACCATCTTGCACACTAGTATTTGAGACTCAAATTGTGGATACTGACTTCATATTCATTTAATAGTTAGAGCAAGGGTTCAACATGCCAGGCAAGGTATAAATAAATATAGAAGGCTTTCATGTCCTGTTTACATCAGAGATTTTCAAACTTTTTAAGCTGCAGACCACAAAAAATACATACATCTCACTAGACATCTTACTACACATATTTATACTTACTGAAAGGAATATTTCATGAGCTGTATTAATATATATTATATTATATTATATTATATTATATTATATTATATTATATGTTACTTTCCATTCAATTTCCTTTTAATGTGGATCTAGAGCCATTAAACTGATTCCATTACCCAGCCAATGGGTTTAAGTTCACAGCTGGGAAGCCCCAGCCCAAATGCCACACTACTACTTTCTTCAGGTCTTCCTGTTCACGAAATATTATTTTCAGCCACAAAGGAGCAGACAGAATAGGTGGTAAGAGGGTAAAGTTACAGCTGAATTCTCAAACAGCATCAGCCTTAGAAAAGAGAGGCAGCTACCTATATGGCTCTGCTTATCATTGCTAGAGAAGGGCTTGCCCTCAAAATGGAGTATCTCACCTGCATCCTGCCACAGTGCGCATAGGTAAGCCATCAGAGATTCATTCATTCTTGAAAATTGAAGAGACTTCAGGATGGCCATTGCAAAATCTATGCTTTTTCTTTCACAGACTTTGTTCTCAGGGACTAGCTGATGCCCAGCTGAGAGCATGGGAATTAGGGTGGGGAAAGACATGTGCTTTGGAATGAGGAAAAGTGGAAGTAAAGCAGGTGGGAGGGTGCCCAGGACAAAATTTTGCTATCTCATAACTTGGTCTGTATAATTCAATCTCTTTTTCAAAACCCCTAAAATGTTGAAATTACTGAAACAATTGAGAAAAACAAAGAAGAAATGGGCTGTGAAAGTCTGGGTTCTAATTTCAGGTGAGCTTTTAAGGCCAAGGGCCTTGACAGATGACATCATTTCACTGTGGATCTCTTTTCTTTTGACTGCTGTCAACGATATAGGCATGTAAAGGTCTAACCTTCTGATTTGGAGATCGAAGTTAATGCTCATGTTTGTTTTCTCAAGACGTGGAACTGCAAATCGGAGGCCCAGGGAATACTAAAAAATAAAATAAAATCACACAAGAGTAGCTTGTACACAACATAAAAATATTTTGTAAGTCATTCCTGCAAAACCCCACCCTGGATCACTGTAACTCTTTCCTTTGTTCTGCTTCTACCCCAGGTGGCTGAGAGCCAAGAGAAGTCATGCAATGAACTACAGGCCCCAGAAGATTCAGGTCACAGTACAGGTTGGTTCTCTCTCTCCATTTAGTCCTATACTGCCTCTTCTCCTGCCACCTTTTTGTGTGTTAAATTGAAAATAATCCAAATATATGAGAAGACACTGATTGGTTGATTGATTGATTGATTGATTGAGACAGGGTCTCGCTCCGTCACCCAGGCTGGAGTGCATTAGTGCGAGCATGGCTCACTGCAGCCTCAACTTCCCAGGCTCAAGTGATCCTCCTTCCTTAGCCTCCCAAGTAGCAAGGGTCACAGGTGCACACCACCACACCTGGTTAACTTTTTTGTTATTCGTAGAGACAGAGTCTAGTCTGGTCTTGAACTCCTGATTTCACGCAATTCTCCTGCCTTGGCCTCCCAAAGTACTGGGATTACAAGCATGAACCACCACACCTGGCCAGAAATTGACTTAGAAAACTATGATGCTTCTGTTTGATGGACATTTATGTAGTCATTGAAATTATAGCTGTGAAGTCAACGCAACAATATGGAAAATGCTTCTAATGTAATAACAATCAACAATGAGTGAAGGTTACAATGTTTATGTGCAATGCACGTCAGCTATGGTTTTTGGTTTTAAAAGTCTACAAATCGAAAAATTCCTCTACAGTACAGGAGTGCGGATGCGCTATAGGAAAACATTTCAGAATAATATGTTCTAGTTGAGGTTACAGTTACATGGATTACTTTTTCCTTTTAAAGGTTTCCAAATTTTTAAAACTGCTTTTATTATTTTCATAACGTGGAAATAGATAAAAACATGGGGAAAATAAATTCAATGATGATATAAATAAGGAAGTAAAAATAATAGTTAACACATCTGTAATATTATGTTACTTACTCTTCCAAGCACTGTACTATGCCTTACACACATGATCTCATGTAATCCCAAAAAGCACTCTGGGGTAGGAGCTGTTGTTGCTGACATTATACAATTGAGCAGCAACCTGAGGATTAGAGAGATGAAGTACCTTGCTCCAGGTGCATTGCAAATAAATCACAGAGCTAGAATTTAAATCCCTGCAAGCTAACTTTCAAATCTGTTATCACAGCCACTATAGTATCAGAATCAAACCATTAACCAAAACTCATATTCACATGAATCAGTAATAATATGAACGAATAATAAATCATCTCTTTTGTCATAAATCAGCAGCACCAGTTCACCAGCCCTTGCCGAATGTGCTTCGAGCTACGTACTGTCCGAATGGCTTTACATTTGTCATATCATTCATTGCTCCAAACAGTCCTACAGGTAGGTGTTTTCTCATTTCAGTGTGACTTGCTCAAAGTATCACAGCTGGTATAGCTAGTATTTAATGCTAAGGCATTACGCCCCAGCAAAGATTTTTTTTTTTTTTTTTTTTGAGACAGAGTCTTGCTCTCTTGCCCAGGTTGAAGTACAGTGGCACAATCTCAGCTCACTGCAACCTCCACCTCCCAGATTCAAGTGATTCTCCTGCCTCAGCCTCCTGAGTAGCTGGGATTACGGGTGTGTGCCACCACACCCAGCAATTTTTTGTATTTTTAGAAGAGACGGGGTTTCATCTTGTTGGCCAGGCTGGTCTCATACTCCTGACCTCATGATCCGCCCGCCTTGACCTCCCCAAGTGCTGGGGTTACAGGTGTGAGCCAAAGGGCCCGGCCGGATGAATTTTTTTAAAAATTCCAAAGGAGCAATTTTCTGTCAGGCTCTTCTCTCCTTTTTAGAAGCCTTTTAGCTTTTTCTTGCCTTTTCTACTTGAAGAACTGCTAACGCATGCCTGAAATCTTGGGACAGGAGATATCTCCTGCAATACATTCTCTGATTCTATGGGCTGGGCCAGGCAGAATTGTTCTCCTTTTTATTCTCTGTCTCCTTTTTTACCACTCTTCCACCACTCAACTTATGACACTGCTAATTTTGAGTTTCTTATTGAGTGAAGGTTGTATGTTTTTATCTTTATATTGCCGACTCTAGCTTAGAACCTGGCATATAGAAGCAGTGCAATAAAAATTGCCAAAACAGGCTGGGCGTGAGGGTGGCTCACACCTTTAATTCCAGCACTTTGGGAGGCCGAGGTGGGTGGATCACAAGGTCAGGAGTTCAAGACCGGCCTGGCCAACATGGTGAAACCCCATCTCTACTAAAATACAAAAACTAGCTGAGTGTGGTGGTGAGTGCCTGTAATCCCAGCTACTCCGGAGGCTGAGGCAGGAGAATCGCTTGAACCTGGGAGGTGGAGGTTGCAGTGAGCCGAGATTGTGCCATTGCACTCTAGCCAGGGCAATAGAATGAGACTCCATCTCAAAACAAAACAAAAAAAATGCCAAAAGAATGATGAGAGTTTGTTCTTGTTTGCTTATTTCCAGTGATAGAAACCTTATTGTATTGCGATAGAGGCTACCTAATGATGGTTTTCATTATAGAACAATAAGCATGGGACAAAGACCCAATGAAGGTGTGACAATTTCATACTGGTAAGAGGTGCATGTGTCCTTAACTAGTACCAAACACCAGATCTCATGGCATTGATTTTAAAGCGCTCTTATTGACCCCACCGTTTAAAAAAATTTTCCCATGAGAAAATTTGCAACTTGTTATGAATCTTATTGGCATGTAAACATCTTATATTACTATAGCTACTCTATGGAAATGACTTTACTATTTAAAAATCAGAAGTAAAACTTCTGAATACTATCTTGAATATTTTTTTTAAGTTAAAATACCAAGTCACTTGAAAGTGATTTTTAAAAGATAATAGATAGAACTAAACATTCCTGGCAATTTATGTTGCTTTTAAAATCTTTAGCACTGCTTTTCCATTTGGAATTTTACCACAACCCACTGAGAGTATTCTTTGTAGAGTACAAAATGAAGAAGAATATAAATCAAAGTGTTTTATAACAAAACAGAATGCAATAAAATTTGATGTGTTTAAGGGCACTAAAGAATGAGATAAGAAAGCTATTAGGTTTCTTTTACTATAGACCTCAGAGATAAATGAATATAAACAATTTACTTCCCTGACTTCTAAAGACTATTTGCTGGCAAAATGAATTGACATACTTTCACATAAACACATTTGTGATTAAGACCACACTGCCATTTTTCCTCCACTTTGAATGATACTGGTGGCCAGTTTTGTTCCAAGATTATCCTTAGATGACCTCTGGTCTAGCTGTAACACTTCTAATACTGAAAAAGGAACGAGTGGTCCATCATCTACAGATGCTGACACTGTTACTACCACCTCAATTCATTTCTCTTTTGTCTTAGGTAACCCTCTTCATATTAAATTAGGCCATTGAGGCTGGGCTCGGTGGCACACACCTGTAATTCCAGCACTTTCGGAGGCCAAGGCAGGTGGATCACCTGAGGCCAGGAGTTCGAGACCAGCCTGGCCCCCGTCTCTACTAAAAATACAAAATTAGCCGGGCATGTTGGCATGCACCTGTAATCTCAGCTACTCGGGAGGCTGAGCAGGAGAATCACTTGAACCCGGGAGGCAGAGGTTGCGGTGAGCTAAGATCGTGCCATTGCACTTCAGCCTGGGCAACAAGCGTGAAACTCCATCTCAAAATAAAATAAAATAGGCGGTTGGATTTTTCTCAAAAAACTAGCAAAACGATTCATTACCTTCCAGATAAAAGGACTATGATAGTGAAAAATGTTCTAATATCTCAGTGTAAACATCCCATTCTCTCTTTCAATGCTTCATTTTGAAGTCTCATCTGTTATTCATTTGTTTTTTATCCAAGGGCTTTTCACCATGTTGCAGACGGGATAGAACATGGGCTTTGCTGTAAGACTTGGTTTGAATCTTGTTCTAACCTTTACCCTCTGTGAGGCTTTGGCCAATTCATCTGACTTCTCTGAGCTTCAGTTTCCTCATCCATAAAATAAAGAAAATACTTGACTCACAGGGTTGTTTTGAAAATTCAATAAAATAACGTAAAAAACTCCCCTCCTCCCAGCGATGCGTTTATAACCTAGAGGACAATCAATCCATGGTAACCAATAATAATATGTCATGGGAATGTACTTGCCATTGAAATATTTATTTATTTTTGCCCCAAGAAGTGAGCTTACTGTAGTTTCAGCACATTTTTGAATACCCAAGATCAACGCAACATTATAGCATAAAAGAGCAAAAATATCATTCTAGCATAATATTCTAACTTGAGAAAAGTTTCAAATGCTCAAGCAAAAGTATGAAACATCAGGCTAAAAGGTTTATTAACTGAAAGACTTATCAGCATCTTTAAAATGCAAATACGTACCTGAATCTCCCTTGAAAAGGGAATTCTATGGTCACTGTTGAATGTCATGTCCTTCCTTTAATTGCCATTGCTAAAATCTTTGTCCTAATTTGGTTATTTTTAGAGTCTTTAACTTACATTGCATTTCTTTTTGAATTCAAAGAAAAAGTATTTAAAGAAAATATCTATAGTAAAAACAAAGTCTGTATAAAATTGTTGTAACTAAAAGACAGGCAAGAGTAATGTATAAAGAGAAAGCATAGAAGAGCATGCATCTTTCTGTGTTTTTAGCTTGAGACGATTCACTCTGTGTAGGTTATAATGTGAAATCCCACTACTCTGGCAATTTCCTGCCTAATTTGTTGTTGCTGCTAGGTGCTGAGTTGCTGAGTGGTAACTGGAGAGCTTTCCATTTGTTCCCTGTGAAGTCCAGTTAGAAGGAAATCAGTCAGTATTTCTGGTTCTCTCTTACATTTGTTCCAGACACCATAGGGTTCCCAAGGTCACACACCACCATCCTGGTTACATTTTCCATCTTGTACTCACAGCTCAGTGGTCGAAATCCCTACAATTGCAAAGAACAGGGGGTTTAGGGGGCAGGATAAATGACATCCTGACACAAAAGCCATGCTGGGGGCCTGGGAGCTCCCCTGGATCTCAAACACCCAGGAGGGCGATAGTGCAAAAAAAGTAATTGATGACCCTTAACTCAGAAGAGAAAATGGAGAGAGAAAAGTAAAAGTTAAATTTTAGAAATAAATGTGTTGGGTAGGTAAGCATATTTATTGTGTTTCATTAAGGAAGACAATGCATAATATAGTATTTATATAAATAGCTTAGACAATATCTTCACTAAGATTAATGTGAAACTCAGGGCATGAAAATCACAAATTATTAAACATGAGTAAATAAATTTATTCTATTAAGCCTTCCAAAAACAAAATGATCATAATGTGTATAGATTATCATATGATTCAATGACCATTTGCCAGATAATTGCCTTGAACACAAATTTCTATACACCATGGTCCCGTTTTGAGATCATGCAATCGACTTTCTTCTGTTCTTCAGTATTTCAGATGTAAAGAGAATACCTTCATGTTTAGCAGTACTTCCTATTTCCTTTCCTTCCCTTATATCCTATTCCAAGTAGAGTTCATACAAACTGAAGTTAGAAGAGGTTCTTGAAGCTATATACTGGACAAATTCTCAAGGTTGAACAGATGAGAGGGGAAATACAGATTTGTTCTGGAACAGTTGCCCTTGGCTTCCAGCTCCTCTTCATGTCCGCATGCTTTTCCCAGTTGCTCAGAAACCCACCCCTCACTCTCTACCCTATTCTTTTCCCATACCGCAAACCCTATGGTCCCACTCTGCATGCAGCCATAGCTACTTACATTTTTCCATTATTTCAGTCTAACTTGTTATGTGCCATCGATATATTATCCATCACCTTTGTTCCAAAAGGTAAGCTTGCAATATGAGGACTTTCATAAAACAGCAAATTTGGGGGGAATTTCTGTCCCTGTGATAGGTTCGGAAGAGGGTTCTCAATATAATGACCATTTATCCATCTGTCAGCTCTATTGAAATTTTATTTTATTTTTTATTTGTTTTTTTGTCCTTGTCTGTTATCTATTGAAATTTTAGGTAAGAGAATAATATAAAATTTCAGAAATGATCTTCCATTCCCTTCTATTTTATTAACAAAAGCCCAAACCGAAAACCCAAGCAAAAAACATGAAACATTCCCCAGACATCTAGCTAAAGAATTCTGTAGGTAAACCACACACTTTGAGAATATAAGCTTCAAGAAGGCAGAGGTTTTTGTGTCTGTTCTAGTCCTAATGCCTAGAGCAAACTTGGACACAAAGTAAGTGATGGTTCAGGAACAACAGAGTAGAGGCAGCTGACACTTTCTTGTAAAAGAGAAGGCTACAATGAAACAGACAAGTATGCAACCAAGTATAAAACCCTGCCCCCAGAATCCCCAGATACACAGACACATGGAAATATCTGTCCTAGTTATTGAGAAAGGAATGGATCACTAATATTTGGAGGCACAATTTAATACATCCTCTCTTCAAATATCCTGAAAGACAGTTAGTTACGTCGGATGAGCTAAAAAACATCTTTTCAAAAAGGTGGTAATATTCTTTCTTCTCAAAGTTAGGTTTAGTATGTCTTCAGCTCCTTAAGGATCCATAACTAACCGCTAATCATACAGAGATGCTTTGTGTTGGGATTATTAACTCAGTCATGAAAACAGAAAGAACAAAACCCAGAAAAATCTTCCGTAAGTCCTCATATGTCCCTTGAATTACATTCAAGGATTTAGTTTCTATAGTAAATTTTTTTTTTTAAATCTCACCTAAAGGTTAAAAGTTATATGTACAGTTTTTCCCCAGTTTTCTGGAAATAGTTCTTTGACATCACTCAAAGAGTTTTTTCTCCCTTTCACATCCCCTCCACCCTTTTTCTTTTTTTAGGCATTATTTCCTCTCGTTAATAAGAGGAACAATGACTTTTTATGGACATTTCTAGATTATTTTCCTCTGCAGTTTCTGGGACATTCTTGTTCTAATCCATTTATAGCTCTTAGAGTGTTCTTCATTCACTGAAAATATTAACTGTGTACCCACTATTTACCAGGCCTGACAAATGAGACCCCTTGTCCTCACTGAATTCTTAATTATTTTAACAACGTAACAAGTAATTCTAAGCAATTATAACAGCAGTGGAAACACACAATTGCAGCAGAGTTGGGAAATTTTATGATAGGATAAATAAATAGTGACAAAGGAGGACCTGCACATAGATCCAAGCAATCAGAGAAGGCATCCTGGAGGAAGTGGCATCTAAGCTGATGGGGGCAGTGCATATCAGTGGTTAAGAACAGGGGCCCAGCAGACATGGTGGCTGATATCTGTAATCCCAGCACTTTGGGAGGCCGAGGCAGGTGGATCGCCTGAGGTCAGCAGTTTGAGAGCAGTCTGGCCAACATGGTGAAACCCCATCCCTACTGAAAATACAAAAATTAGCTGAGCATGGTGGCTGGCGCCTGTAATCCCAGCTACTAGGGAGGCTGAGGCAGGAGAATCGCTTGAACCTGGGAGACAGAGGTTGCAGTGAGCTGAGATCGCGCCATTGCACTCTGGCCTGGGTGACAGAGTGAGACACCATCTCAAAAAAACAAAACAAAACCAAAAAACAAAACAAACAGGGGCCTGGACCTAACAGTTGATGTTTGAACTTGCTTCGGCTACATAATAGCTGTATAACCTTGCGCATGTTACTTAATTTATTCTTACCTATAAAACAGGGATAGTGACAGCAGCTTCTCTATAAGGCTGTTATAAGAATGAAATACATTCTTTTTTAAAATTACTATTATACTTTAAGTTCTAGGGTGCATGTGCACAACGTGCAGGTTTGTTACATATGTATACATGCGCCATGTTGGTGTGCTGCACCCATTAACTCATCATTTACATTAGGTATATCTCCTAATGCTATTAAAAAAAAAAGAATGAAATACATTCAAGAACTCAGAGAATTACCCAGTTCATAGCAGTTGTTCAGTAAATGTTAGCCACCTCAATTATTATTGTCTCAACTATTATTAAGCCTCAATTTTTATTAAGTCTCAATTATTATTTGAAGGATGAGTAGAAAGAATTGAAAATAAGTAGGATAGATAAAGAGGATGAGGGAGCAGAGTTAGTGTGTTGGGAGGAGAAACGGCTGGAACAAGCTCTCCGTGTCATTACAGGAATGGAAAAGGAACTCAAGCCAGCTGGAAGCGTCAGCATTTAGCGATGAGGCTGAAGAGGTGAGTGGGGGTGATATGATCAAGGGTCTCATGCATTATCTGACGGATTTGGATCTTATCCTCAACGCAATGGGGAGCTAGTGAGGATTTGAAGACAGTACCATGCTCAGATTTGTAATTTAGAAAGATGGATTTTTTTCTAGGTTAGAGGTAAGGAGTTGGCAAGACAAACTAGGAAGACTGTTGCAATAATCTGGGCAAAAGATCATGGCAGCCTGGATGAAGGTGGTGACAGTGGCTGTTGGATGGACTCAGTCCACAATCTCTCTAGTTCATATCCTTCTCTCCATCCAACTGCTACTGTCATCACCCTCATCCAGGCTGGCATCACTTTAGGTATTAGAAGCCAGGGGATGCTGATGTCATTCTTGTACATAGAAAATGAAAGGGAAGCTGGATGTGGTGGCTCACACCTGTAATCTCAGCACTTTGGGAGGCCAAGGCTGGGGGATCACTTGAGGTCAGGAGTTCAAGACCAGTCTAGCCAATATGGTGAAACTGATCTCTACTAAAAATACTAAAATTAGTCAGGCGTGGTGGTGGGCGCCTGTAATCCCAGCTACCCGGGAGGCTGAGGCAGGAGAATCACTTGAACCCAGGAGGCAGAGGTTGTAGTGAGCCAAGATCATGCCTCTGCACTCCAGCCTGGGCAACAGAGCAAGACTCCATAAAAAAAAGGAAAGAAAAAAGAAAATGGAAGGGAAGAGGGGTGTGAGTGGGAAGACCAAAAGTCTGGATACAGACATGCTGAAGGCGAGCTGGCTGTGAGAGACTGAACAAGAGATGATAACAGGTCCCTAGAATCGTTCACAGAGACAGAAAGTAGAATGGTGCTTACCAGGGCCTGGGGAGAGGGAGCAATGGGGAATTATTTTTAAGGGTTGCAGAGGTTCAGTTTGGAATGATGTAAAAGGTCTGGAGATGGACAGTGCTGATGGTTGCACTACCACGTAAATATAATGTCACTGAACTGCGCACTTGAAAATGGCTAAAATGATAAATTATATCTTACATGTATCTTACTACTATCATAATGATGATGATGATGATGATAAATATAAAACATATACACCTTTTTTCACAGAAAAATTAAGGAGAAAAATCACCAAAAGGAAATATAAAGGCTGGCTCAACTAAGGTTTCCTAGAGCAAGAGATGATAAGCATTTACATTTTCTAAAAAGACGAATGTTTTCAACAAAACAATAGCCAACCTTACAATCAGATAATGCCTAATATTTTTCCCCTTGAGGAAAAAATGGTTAAAAAATCTTGAACTGAGTTGAAATCAAAAGGTACACAAACCTCAAACTGTTTCCAAACAAGGAAGAAATTAGAATGTGGCTTAGTCACGTAAAATTCAAAGACTGAGTGAAGTCTCTGCCAAAGGGAAATTGACAGAGAAAAAAGTAGTGAAGGAATCATTTGAGATTGCAGATAATGTCCCTTGTAATGTTTACAGCCAAAGATAGACTCCTAAGTGCTCTCCTGTGTTTTCTATGCAACAAAGCCAACAGTAAACTGGATGTTCTGCTAAAAGAACATTTTAGAATAGGTCCTTTGTTTAGTGAAGTCAGGGGTGGAGTGACAAGAAGGGAATTGAAATAAAAATATGAGTGGAGCTCTGGAATATTAAAAACAAAACATACTCAAGCTTTGTTTTTGTGTTTGTTTATGCGTTATCTGCAGGTAAGTATTTGTAGACGTCATTTTTCTTTCTGTTTTTGCTTGTAGAGATTTTATTATGAAATGACATCTTCAAATCAAAGTGGTTATTAAACACCATTTTTATAAGTTGTGTGTATAATTACTTCCTTTATTCTTATTTATTTTTATCTTAAAGTGACTTTAATAGAGAAATGAAGAGGATTAAAAAAAATCACATAATTGGCGGGGCAAGGATGGCTCGTGCCTATAATATCAGCGCTTTGGAAGGCCAAGGTGGGTGGACCGCCTGACCCCAGGTGTTCAAGACCAGCCTGGGCCATATAGCAAAACCCCCTCTCTACAGAAAATACAAAAATTAGCCAGGCATGGTGGTGCACACCCGTAGTCCTAGCTACTCAGGAGGCTGAGATGAGGGTTTTGCTTGAGCCCAGGAATCGGAGGTTGTAGTGAGCTATGATCACGCTGCTGCACTCCATCCTGGGAAACAGAGCAAGACCCTGTCTCAAAAAAAAAAATACAAGAAAGAAGAAAATGGGATGATTATAAACCACTCACTGGAGAAATTAGGGTTTATACTGATTTTCATGTTTGAAATAACAGGGAAATGAAAGCTGAGTGGAGATTTGCAAATACTCTTGAAAAGAAATGGAATTATTTTTCCCCTCTATCCAACTTCACTGTCAACATGGAAGAGTTAAGAATAATTTAGGACTATTTTTTTAAAAACTACTTTATTAAGATGTGACTGACATACACAAAACAGCAGTACATATTTAATGGATAACATTTGATGACTTTGGAGTTTTTTTTTTCTTATACATTTCTTCAACAGATACTCAAGGATTTTAAATGACTGTTAAAGATGCTCTATCATTACCCATCTAGATTTTTTAATTTTTTGTTTTTTACTAAGAAGATCGTTCAACTAAAACAAACAAAAATCATGAGACTAGAAGTGTGAATAGAGAATTTTATATTCCCTAAGTTTTTTAATGCCTTTAAAATACCAACATCACAACAACAGTTTGTTAACATCTGTTTAGAAGAATTACTTTTCATTACATTATTCAATCATTAAAATGGACAAGGTCCTCAGGGGGTGTGGTATTTGGAAACTAGTAGACATTTAATACATTTAAGCTAAATGAACAATGCTATCAGCAAGTATTTAAGGAGCACCTACTCTACACCTCATCCTATGAAAGGAAACGTGAAACTTGGGCTTTACCCTTAATTGTGAGTTTGTATATTTCAGACACTGAGGGACTTTCTCTGTTATTCTACAATGTATTTTTAATAGTTTTCTAGACCAAGTGATTAAGGACACTGCAGAACTGGAGGATGCTTTGAATGGGAAGATTCATGTTCTGATAAGGAAGGGGAAGACTATAAATAGCATTGTTGTCATTTAAACAAATAGTGGCATTGAGGAATGGCAAATGAGGAAGACCAGGCTGTTCCTGGTCATAATTCTGACAAGGTGGACCAAGAAGAAAGGGAAAGGACCTTGTTTCCCTTCCTGTGTCGGTCCAGGCTTTTATCAGTGCTCATCAGGGATTGGCTGGACCTTCTTCCCTAACCAATAACGAAAACCAGGCTTCCTGACATGTGCTTGAAACTGATAGGAACTCAGTGCAAGGCTAGAAAAGTCAGTGAAGACAGGGAGTTAGCTTGGGAGTTTAGCTTTTTGATCGCATTGGTAAGCTTCTTCTTTCAGCCAGTCTTGTTCTCTTTTTTGCTTTAGCTCTCAATCTTTGGCCAATCTATCTTTGCACTGTGGCAAAGAAAGACATTAATACTGTGTAAGCCCACCCCTGCTTTGTGGCTCATTGCTGTTATGATTTAACAAAAGAAGGTATCATTTTGCTGTCTTTCATTAAGGAAGAAACTCTCAGCTAAGATGGCCCTTCTTAACATTTACTTGACTTCAAAAATATACCTAGCTCTTGACTTCAAACAATTTGCAGGCATTACCTTGTTGTTGCGTTCGATTCCAACATAATCTGCCTCTTCTGGTATCATTACAAAGAGTTCAGCTTCATATGCTCCTTCCCCTTCATTTCTTGCATTTATTATGAGCATAAGGTGATTTTCATCTCCAATGATTACCTGATGCTTATCTCTAAAAATGCAGTTTAAAAAGAAGGATTAGGTACTCTACTTCTTGGCTTCGTGAATATTTTATTTAAGGATTTATAGAGGAGGAAAAGAAAAATGGCAAGTGCAAAAAAAGAAGATGGACCATCATGAAGAGATGGTAGGAAGAGGCAAGAGAATCATCTCTGGGTAAAAAGGGCAGGAAAACACCCAGTAGTGTGTTGGTAAATGTTTAACAACCAGTTCTCAAAAAAAAAAAAAAAAAAAAAAGGATTGATTTATAGCATTTTCAGATTCCAGTGGTGTAAATCCATGAACCGTGGTCATTTTCAAGCTACCAACATATTTAACAATCTACCAACAAAATTACTGCAAATTTAACATTTCACTTACAAGCCAGAATGAAGCAGCTTCAGCACTTCACTGAAAACATACATTAGGAAGAAAATGGGCAATGGAATAAAAGGAAGAGAGGTGGTTTAGAAAGTAAGAGGGATAGATTAATGCAAAGGAAATAATGAGAGGGAAGAAGCAGGCAGATACAATAAGATCTTAAATCACTGGTAGAGGACTTCAAGGTATTTTGAAGACATGCAGTTCACTTAGAACTGCAAATCAAGCCAATAGTTGGAAATGCCTACTCCACTTTTTAACCTTACTTAAAGCGATTGCATTTGAAGTTGATAAATTATGAAATTTGGGGGAAGTCCCTCTGAGAAGTTACCAAGCAGATTCCAAACACTGGCAGTGAGATAGTTCCTGGGAGGGAAAGAAACACAAATCTGTTTCTTGACCACAGAATGTTTTACATCCTAGTCCATGTCTTCCCATAACAGAATACAGTGCAATTTCCAGTGCTGGAATGGGGGCGTCCATTACTGGCAACTGTGAAGCCCTTTGATTCGTTTCAATTTTGTGACACCTTCTGCTTTACTCCATAGAGTGCTATTTAGGTTTATTTATTCAATAAGTTAAAATTAATTTTGTTTTGACAGTTTTAAGGATGGCTTTGAGTCATGGGGTGCTGAAAAAAAGTTTGGTTGAAGGTGTAGATGGAACCTGCCTGTCTGAATCCTTTGTCTACTTGACTGAGGCAAGTAAACATAACCCGAGCCACCCCATCAATGAGTTTACTTTCAACAAAAACATTTTTTTCCCCACTTTTGCTGAAAGATGAAACGACCCAGGCAAAATCTTAGGGTGTGTCATTTGACACCAATGACAAATAACTGACCCAAACCACAGGCTAACCCAAAGTGTAGCCAAGCTCAAGAATTTCACGCAGCATAGTTTTTGGTAGTTATTGGAAGTGTATACTTTCTCCAGAGAACCTTTACATAAATACCTGTAATTCCATTAGATAGAAAGTACACATTTAGTTATTTAAACTTACGGTCTAGCCGACAGCTTCAAGTCAGGAACACACAGATTGTCTTCTCCACAGTCCACCAGAATGTGAGCCTGTGTTGTATAAACGCACGTCAGGAACAATCTAGGAAAATCTGATTCACATCCTTTTTCTTGAAAATTCTGAATGGTGCCACAAACGGAACCAGAGCTTTCCTCTCACTATGCATGACTCTACCCAAGCCAATAGCCTACATTTCACAGTGACCTCCCAATACAGGCTACTTTACATAATAGCCCAATTCCAATGCACTCTGAAATATCTGCAAAGAATGCAACTCTGCCTATGGCTTGAGGATTACAGGCTGTATTGCTTCCATTACAGCCACATTTTGAACAAATTAAATCTTGATTGCACAAGAGGAAAGGCTTCCGAAAAACACAATCATGCAGTGTTTCAGGAAACATGGTAGGAAAACTCCCAAATGTTCCATGTCTGCATGCAGAAGTAAAAATGAAAGGAGCTGGCTTTAGTCTTAAAGCCATGAGAACAACACCCCAGAGAGCTTGCTTGAGAAAATGCCGTCAAAGACTGTGAAGGACTTACCTGTTCACTAACAATGTTTTCTCTGTAGTAGTTCAATATTGGTTTCACTTCCAGGCCTTCTTTAAAGGTGGATTCGTCCAAACTGTAATTCAAACTAATGTTGATTGGAGATAATTTATCTCGGAATTCAGTTTCATCCTAGGAAAAATAATCACAAACTCAACAGAGGCTCCATGAAATAGCTGCAAGATGTCAGTCTGCAAAAGTCAGGCAACACTGGAATTTACTCAATGAAAGTGAATGATGAAACAATTATCTTTGCAGCAGGCTTAGATGGAGGCTGATTTATGTGGTATATAGTAGCCAGCATACCTAATATATGTGCAGTGATGAAATCATTTAGAGCTGCGGCTTCATTGAAATACGCTTCTGGAGCCAATCTTTGGGTTCTCCAGACCTTCAACAACTCATGCAGAACTGGTCAAGTTGCAAAGTAAAAGATTACACGTGTATATCATAAATGTCACAAAAAACATCATGAATTTGGATTTTTATTTTCGTGAGGTTGCCAGAATTTATGAGTTCTCTCTTGGGGCTCAGAAGAAGAAAACATCTTGATTCTCTTCCTCTCATCATCTTTTTAAGCCCTTGCCTGCATGAACTTCAGAACACCTTCAGGATATTTGAAGTTCTTTTGGAAAAAGAAACAGAACTCCTTTAGTAGAGAGGGGTAAGCACCAAACAGCAAGCACTAAACACACGGTGGATATGTCACCCTTCAATTGTTTGCCAATCAAGGGTCAGGTATCCAACTTTTCATTCTTGAGTGTGATTGTGAACCTGTGATCTTCCCTAGGGTGGTCCTTGCTAACTAAGTCCCCTAATGGAAAAGAGAAATTGAGACAGTTATCACAACCTCACAACCGGCAAGGTGAAGATAGGTAATTGTGTTATAAATATTTTTACTTTAAAATTTCGGTAGGTTTTGAAGTCATTGTAAAAAGACATTACTTTAAATAAGATAATTATAAGTTACTTCTAATAAAAGCTTTGAATGCCTAAATATTTTCCTGAATTGGCTCTGAAACATGCATTGATAAAATCTAACAAGACATACTCACATAGGAGAAAAATTCACATAAACTGTGTTGCACTTTTATGTATTTTGGGGAGGAGGTGGGTAGAAATGAAAACCATGTGAGCTGAATGCCATTATAAAGATTTTGATCAAAATGAAAAGAAGCCTTAGAAATTAATAGCAACACATCATCAGGTTAGTTGAAGTCAGGGTCAAGAGGAGAGTATTTGACCCTAAAATAAAGTTTCCTGCTATGAAAATGAAAACAGACAGATGGGGGTCTATGCAGACAAACATGATGGTTAAATGGAGAAAAATGGTTGGAATTTGGATATGAAGGAGAGAGGCCAGAGAAGTCTTTCTGGAATACTTACTCGAAGGTAAACGATGAAATCCTGGCACTGGTGGGATTTCTGCCTTTTTATCACAAGAGGGAAGACGCGATGAGCCTGATGGTTATCAAGGAAGAGCGTCCGTTTAATAGCTCCTTTCTGTTTCAGGGAATCTAATTGCACCTCTGCCATCAAGACTAAAGGACAGAAGTAAAGTAGAGAAAAAGTATTCAGTGAACACAGTGCTCTATCAGAGAGATGAATTTCTATTTCAAGTTGCTTATTCAGGAAACAGTTCTTTTTCATAGTTGAGACCAAGCATGATAAATGAGCTGGAAAAATTGTATAACATACTCTCCAAGCTACAAATGTTTTATAATGGTTTTATAAAAGTTGTCATTTTCCCTACAATTATATGTTCTTATAAATAATAGTATTACCAAGTATTGAAGTAATATTTATTAGAAGGTTCCATATATGCAACAGATATCTTGGTATTCCTCAAGGGTTCTTTCATTTTTTTATGGTCTGTGCAGAGAAATGGTTACTGTTCAACTTTCTTAGTATACCATAAGAATGTAAAAATGAAAACATGCTTACCTATTGTGTTTGCAATGCTCTGGCCTGTGACAGATGCACATACTCTTAAAGAAAAGCTATAGAAAATAGTAGTAATTTATTGGTTAATAAAGTTTTGAATCTAAAGTAGAAGCCTTCCTTTACCTAATCCCAGATAACGAATATCATTTTCTCTATATATTTCTAATTACACACACACACACACACACACCCACACACACACCCCTTCTACCAATTGATCTCAACACTAATACAATCAAGACAAGTGACATTATTATTACATGGAAGGTAATACTGGAAAATAGTACAGGAGGTTAACTGATTTAATCAGTTGCTCAATTAGTCAATTACTTGTTGCTTTTATTCAATGAATACAGGTCAGTATCTTCCATGTGCCAGGGAGGGAAGAATTAGGCAGCAGAGCAAGAGGATAGCCAGAGGTAAAATCTGGAGGTGAGTAAGAATCTGGACCCATTTGAGGAAACTGAAGAAATTCAGTGTAGTCGGGGCACTGAGCAAGATGGCAAAGTTGTAGGAGGCAAGGCTGGCTTGGTGGATCGGTGAGGAACAGGGCTTTGAAAGTCATGCTAAAAAATGCAGATTTAATCTTCAGAAGCATGGAGCACATGGTATGCTTAACTTAAAACACCCACTCTGCTTGGAAGGAGATGAAATTTGGCAGAACCTTGCTACAGTTGGGGTAAGACTGGAGGTTGAGACGAGAAGAGGGAGGGGAGAAAGAGAAAACAGGAAGTTTAGCATGGCTGTCTCAAGCTAGGTGGGCACAATGATATAGGAATAAAGACAATCAAGAGAGGGCAGATGTCCATGAGAGACACTTTGGAGTTGTGCCTTGAACACACCATCACTACCATTCAAGGCAATGTCTGCACTGGCTTATAGGATGATCTGCACTTGGCTTTGGTCTGTGGCTACAGATGGAATGAGAGACGACTGACTCCCTGGCTGCCTTTGTTGAATGAAAGTGCTCACCTCTCCCTGAAAAATTCCAAGCCCTAACAGCTATCACTAGAGATGGGGCCTTTTCACATTTCTAGGAAAGTGAAAATATAAGAAAATACTTAAGTATGGTTTAATGACAGTCATAAACTTTTACCAGTAAAATACTATAGTATGATGTGGATATTTCTACAGAATTCAAAGGGAGTAAATAATCCCCAATCATACTTTAATTATGTGTCAGCTTCCTGTGTCAAATATAATGAAAAAGTGTCACATCTGGGATTCATCTATCTGCTGTGACCTCAGTCAATGTCTCCCCTCAGGGTAAATAATTTGCCACATACCATTAAGCCAAAAGTTTCCTGAAATGTCTACGCTATTACAAGTGTTTATTCCGCTTCCCCAGAGAAATCACTGATTCCAACTTGCTTCTGCTTCAATTAGAATTATTCAAGAAAGATGAAGAGTTAATCACATCTTTCAATTTTGTAGTAAGCCTGGCTTTCAAAATTAGAATTTTTCTGTATCCAACCTTTTTGAAAGTATTTTGGTGTATGTTCAAATCAGCCAATGATCTTTTTTTCCATTCATCTTTAACTGTGTAGACCAAAGCCATTAGCTTTTATAAAATAAATTCCTATTTGTAATGACATTATCAACATATATACATTAAAATCATTTTAGATACAGTATTTTTAATACAAACAATTCAAAATAACTAATTTTTAAAAAGGAATAAAGTTATACAAATGAACATTTTTTTCCTTATGGGATGGTATATAGTTGATAAATGATGTTATCAGCTAAAGGGTTACTATTTATTTATGAATTACCTGTCAGTATAAATCTCTATTTCTTTCTTAGCTCACTCTTTCTGTTTTCTGAATATCATTACCAAATGGATGACTTTAACTTTTTTTTCATACAAGTGTAATATCACTGCTACAATGTACTGAATTCTCAATAATAGCACTCCAACCTAAACCTGCCAGTTAATAGATTACTTTAGTGGAAAAGAGTCTGTGAAGTCATAATTTTTCAAACTCTGTGTTATGATCTAAAGAAAATTTCAAGATTTTATAGTAGTGGGCTGATGTGTTCATGCTGAATTTAGGAAAACATACTATATTATATATAAGCACACATACATCACAGGTCATATGGAGCATAGAATTAGGATCACTTGCAGGCCTACAGCTAATTACAAAGTATACTTGGGTCATTAGGGAAAGCTGTAAACTTTCATTAAATTAGAATTAAAATTTCAAACTAGAAATATTGGTCATTTTCAGTATGGCCCATTAGTCTAAATAGGTCTGATTGGAACAAAAAAACCCATCAAATCAATCCAAGTCCCTTATTACATAAATTCTAAATTAAACTGTTTGTGGACAGTGCTTTTGATATGGCCAGAAGGCAGGGTGATACACTACATGATCTTCTGAGGCTAGTCCCAACCCAAGCACGGTTGGAATAATGATTCTGCGTTGTGACTGTGCTCACAGCTGTCTATGATGAAGAGAAAATGAGATAAATGTGAAACACGATTTAAAAGTACAAAGCAATTCATTTTACATTCTCATCAGTTTTCACTCCTATTTCAGTGATAGCAAATAGCAGGTTTCACACAGTCACTCACATCTGACAAGTTTTTTTAATCAGGTTGGACAACTGGGTCGTTACTCACTTTTACATTTCTAAAATGAAGTATTTCGCTAGTTTTTCTTTTTGTAATTGGTTAGTCACCAGTTATATTAATATTTATTGAGCTGGCTTTTTTCCCCCTTTTTCTAACTTAGAAATACCAATTAAAGATAGATACTTTATAAAACTACACCGCTGTTTGAAAGACACAGAAATCCACATCGATGGAAGTGAAGAACTATTTGCCAAGTAGAGTTTATGTGATAGTTTTCAGATGTATGATATAAAGTTATATCAAATACAGACACAAATAACAGCAGAGAAAATCAACGGAGACCTTTCAATCATTTTGGAAAAACTAAGCTAAGTTCCTAAAATAAAGAAAAAAGAGAATCAAAGAAACACATTCTAGACTGAACCAGCTGTTAACTTTCTGTCTTCTGAGGCTCTGAGGCACCATTCACAAATTTTGCATGTGAAAATAAGACTTCTTCCAGAAAAATGTATGCAATAGAAACAAATATAATTGTAAAGGGATATACATTTGTCCACATAACAAATTGCACTTTATCTTAATAATATGATTAAATGCAGTAAGAAAATGGCTCATGAAAAGAAAGACATTTTCTTGTTAAAAAGTAATATTCTTTCCATAAAACCAAACAGAACTCTTTTTTTTTTTTTTTTTTGAGACAGAGTCTCCCTCTGTCACCCAGGCTGGAGTGCAGTGGTGCGATCTCAGCTCACTGCAAGCTCCGCCTCCCAGGTTCATGCCATTCTCCTGCCTCAGCCTCCTGAGTAGCTGGGACTACAGGTGCCCGCCACCGCGCCCAGCTAATTTTTTGTATTTTTAGTAGAGACAGGGTTTCACCATGGTCTCGATCTCCTGACCTCGTGATCTGCCCGCCTTGGCCTCCCAAAGTGCTGGGATTACAGGCGTGAGCCACCGCGCCCGGCCCCAAACAGAACTCTTAATCTGGTTAAAAAAAAAAAAAAAAAACCACACACTTCAGTCTTATACAAATATGCATTAAACTAAAAACCCTTAGAATCAATTATCTAGTTCAAAACAACAACATTCTATATCAGAGTGTACCACATGTGCTTAAAGGAATTCAGCCTAGAAGTCCATTCTGTTATGAAGGTGTGAACATGAGCCTATTTGGGGGAAATACTGAAGTTTTAATACTCATGAACAAGTAGCAACTCTCACAGTTCATTGTTCATTTAATCATGCAGGGGTAAGGATAAACGCTGGCTCTCTGACATATTTTCTCAGATCAGGTTTTCATTATACTATTTTATGGTTTTAACCAAATGTGCCCAGGGCATTTTCCAACTCTTTTCAAGAGCAGTTAAAGAAGAGGATGCTCTCCCGCCACACTCCCCAGCTCCCAGCAATAGGATGTTTTTCAAAGAATTCTTCAGGGTCCTCTAAGTCCCCACCCTCCACCCTCAAAAGCTTTGACTCCAGTATGAACTCCTGTCAAAAGGCCATCAACAACATGTTAAAATTGGCTGGAAATAACTTCTCTGGGTCAAGAGTGGTTAGTTCTGCAATTCTGACATTCTCAGAAACCAAAAATACTGTCTGAGTTAGACCACGTCTCCTGAAAAATAAGGGCAAAATATTAAACACCCCAAGGATTTGTTGATCTTTCAGAGGGTATACCCTGAAGGTATTAACCAACATAGTGACTTCTAACTCTTGAGGACCTACATATTGGGAAACAGTGGTATTTTCTTGAACTGTGTTATAGTCAAGTTCCATCTTGTACTCCCTCCAGATGGCTGACAAAATTCAGAAGGAACACTTTCAGGAGTCATATCAGCCAGCTTCTGAAAGTACAAGCAAAGCCTCCATCATCCAGCAAAAGGAATAATTCAATCGCTATTCTTAATGACAGACAAAAAAATACAGCTTATGGCACAAAAATCTTGTATAATGTGTTCCTTCTGTCTAGCTGTGCATGCTAAGTTACAAAACTGGTATCTGTTGTCAGCATAGAAAACCCAGTAAATTAACCCAGTAAATTGACTAGTTAGAAATGGGACATCGGCTGGGCATGGTGGCCCACGCCTGTAATCCCAGGACTTTGGGAGGCCAAGGCAGGTGGATCACCTGAGGTCAGGAGTTCGAGACCAGCCTGACTAACATAGTGAAACCCCGTCTCTACTAAAAATACAAAAATTAGCTGGGAATGATGGTGGGTGCCTGTAATTCCAGCTACTCAGGAGGCTGAGACACGAGAATCGCTTGGACCTGGGAGGTGGAGGTTGCAGTGAGCCAAGATTGTGCCACTGCCCTCCAGCCTGGGTGACAAAGCAAGACTCCATCTCAATAAATAAAAAATAAATAAATAAATAAATAAATAAATAAATAAACAGGACATTATATGTGCTTGAAAAGCAGTATCTATAAGCATATGCCAAAATGTAAGAGTCTAGGTATTTTGTTATATTTTTACCTTGGTTAGTGTTTATTTTAGTACACCAAGAATCTAAGAGCTATCTCCAAGATTTGTTTGACTGGGAATTTCCCCAAATGTTTTTATACTTCTCATCTCACCTAGAGCCTATAGATTAGAGAAGTAGCCTTTGAATGGTAAGTCGATAGCCAAAGATCAGCATCATATCATAGGTTCTCTTGAAAGACTAACTCCTTGCTACTCAAACTTCGGCCACAGACCAGCAGCAGCAGCATCTCTTGAAGCTTTTTTCGAGAAATGCAAAATCTAGGCCCTACCCCAGACTTACTGAATCCAAATCTGTATTTTTCACAAGATACCCAGGTGATGTGAATTCACATTGGAGTTTGAGAAGCACCGGACTAACTCACCAGGCAGCAGATGTCATAGAGTCTGGAACCTGGCAAGTTTTATTTTCAAGATTGATAATCATTGGGTGCAGCAGAAGCTGGGCATCTACAGTCACAACCGGTCTTGCTCTGCGGGGAGAAAATGCAGGGTTTGTTTAAATAAAACACAAGGGTGATAGGCAGGCAGAAGCCCACTTCACTGCATACTGAACTCAGTAGTAGACAGAATACTCCACAGGCCATTGCCAACGTTCTCAGCATTTGTGCCAAGAATTTTGCTCACTGCATGAACAGCTGGGTATCACACTCAACTAATTACCTCAAAACACATCTGGAAGCACACAAATACAAATAAAGAGTGCTGTGGGTCTGTCAAGCAAAGTTGCGTACACAACCTAATTTCATTATGAAGTGGGCCTCCGGTATTATGGCAATATTGCTGTGAAATATTGCTCTGCCACCTGCTAGCATATCTACATCTGTATCTGATGAAATACATCATCTTACAGCCATTCGTATTTGTGAGTACTTGAAGTTTGCAACTTTTCATTGATAATTTTAATTTTGTGAGTACTTGAAGTTTGCAAATTATCATTGATAATTTTTAAATTTCTGTTGATAGTTTTCAAGCTGAGCTTTGCAAATTTAGCTAAATACACGAAGCAGGGTTTGCAGAATAATTCTGTACATCAGCCAGAGAAGTGGTTCTCAATCCTGACTGCACAATGTAATCACCTAAAGAGCTTTAAAACAAATTCTATGCCCAGGCCCTGCCACACCAACTGAACCAGAACTTATGGGGTAAGGATCAGACATTGGAATTTTAAACAAACTCTCCAGGTGATTATAATATGTAGCCAAATTTGAGGAGAGAGACTGACAGAGTGTAAGTAAACTCAATTGCAGCCACCCAGATGAGGATAACAAAACAAAAAAGTATTAATAAATCATGGGGGAAGGGAATAGAGCAGATTTTAAAGCTTGGTTCCAAGATATGATCGTTGGAAGCCAAAGTCCTCAAATGACAGGGAGAAATGAAGCCATGTTGGATAAGTTTCCCCCCAACAAGAAGAAGGGCTGTGTCTTGGGGCTGAATGGGTTTACAGCACTGCTTTAAACAATAAGCAGTGGGCCTGATGGGATTCCTCCTAAGTTCCTTCAAGCCACTTCTCTGTATTTTGTTACATAATTTTGCTTTCAATACCGTGTTAGTTCCACTCCTTGGAAAAGCAGGTGATAAAACGGAACTAGATATGCAAGAGATATACTGGGATCAAACACTTATGAGGAAAAGTGGGGAGATGGAGGGGGCTGGGAGTTCTGATCCCTGGAAGGATCAAGGGAAGGACAGAGGACTGGGTAAGAAAGTTCTGGCCTGGGCAATGGAGAGTCCTTGAGCCAAATTTGCCCGTGAGAGGAGTTCCATGTCTTGCAAAAACAGGCCTGCATTTGTGTTCTTGTTGTGTCCGCTAATTGGCTGGGAGCAGCTCATGGAAAACAAGGCCTTGGCATGAAAGTGGCGGATTGGAAGCGGAGCAGCTGAGCCCTGTGCCCATTCTGCTCCAGCAGCTCTGAGTGGTGCACTCCACAGCCACCGCAAACGCAAGCCCCATACTTCAGACACCTTGAGGGTTTTGACTGTCTGATTCTCTAGAACCTTAAGTGGGATATGGCTGGTACAAGTCAACCCTCTCTGAGTTTGTCTTGGGACTGACGAAGAAGAAAATCTTACCTATTTGAGGAAACTTAACCTTAGAATATCTCTGGAAGCCGATTAGGTTAGCACTATGCACCTAGTACACCCAGGTATGCCCTCGGCCTTTTGTCTTGATATCCTGACCTAGTGTCTTGAATTCTCATAAGTCATATGACCTTTTATGTTTGTTTATTTTTGAGATGGAGTCTCACTCTGTCTTCCAGGCTGGAGTGCAGTGGCACAATCTCTGCTCACTACAACCTCGACCTCTCAGGGTCAAGTGATTCTCATGCCTCAGCCTCCCGAGTAGCTGGGATTACAGGCGTGTACCACCATGTCCGGCTAATTTTTGTATTTTAAGTAGAGATGGGGTTTTGCTATGTTGACTAGGCCAGTCTCAAATGCCTGACCTCAAGTGATCCGCCCACCTCGGCCCCCCAAAGTGCTGGGATTATAGGCATGAGGCACCGTGTCCTGCCATAAAACTTTTTTTTTTAAAAGAAGCTAAAGTTGAGCACCACCTCTCTCCCAGTTACTATTCTGTGTACACCACACGCATATTCTCACTGAATGCTTTGAACAAAGGTAACGTTATAAATGTTGTTTTTATCCTTCTTTTACAGATCAGAAATCTGAAACTCTGAAAGTGATAAGAACTTGCCCAAGATTACAAATAAGTCAGTGTATGGAATGTCCAGGCTTGGAATCCATAGCTGTTGTATTTGA